>NC_000006.12:5969090-6120606 GCF_000001405.40 Homo sapiens
ACTCAGGGCTGCCCTCTCCCCGACAACAGGACAGGACTGTAACCTTTTGTGAAAGGACAGGTAAAAATAGCTGCAGCACTTTAGGAAGAACTCAGAATTTTTAGATTCTGAACCATCTGATTATATAACTGAGGGTAAGTGATCTGGGAAAGGGCAGGAAACTATTATTTATGGTCTTTTAGTGTCCTGGGTTCGGTGCTGTATGTAGGTCCCAGTTAATCTTCACAATGACCCTGTGAGGTTGTTGTTTTCCTCTCCTTTTCTGTAAATGAGGAGCCTGCAGGCACTGAGGGAGAGATGATGAACTCGAAATCACCCAGCTTGCAAATGATAGAGATGGGACCAACCCTGGTGCTGTCGTGTCCCACACCCCATTCTCTGGCTTGACTCTGGCTCAACCCCAACCATGACACATATAGGGTGGCATGAAGTTCTCCAGGAGCCAGGGCTGCCTGGCTGTATCCTGTATCCTAGTGTTCTTGCAAAGCTGCAGTGAGAGAAAAAGCAGGGCCAGGGGCAGGAATGTCTTAGCTGATGTGAATGGCTTGTATGCTGTTGGCCCCAAAAGTTTGCTGAAAGGTCTTTAGCAGCGGGATGATCTATCCCACCAGGGGTCCAGGAATTTTCATATGGGAATGCTACTTATGGTAGATCTGTGAGGGGGGGAGTAGAACCTAGAAAACAACTTAGAAGACTTTACAGACACTCAGAATGTGGACTTTATATACCTTTCACAAAAAGGTACCAGGGCTCCTTAGAAAAGTAGCCATTTCCAGGTCTGGGGCAGGAAATGCATAAATTGAGACAGAAAGAAAAGAAGCAGTCAAAGATTAGATTCCTGGGGTCATGTTGAAAGGACACATGCATCAACTTGAAATGATACTCACTGGCTAGAGATGGATAATTTGGATAAAAAAGAATAATGGCTGAAATGGATTGAAAATGTCAAGCATATAAAAATCCAAGAGTTTATAATAATACACCATACCACCCTCTCACAAAAACCGCAACACGCAACTCAGTGGTTAACTACCTTTGGGAGTTGCTTGGGCACCAAGTCATTATTCTGAAGACTGATGAATAGAGGAAAGGAATAAAACATCCATCCTGTTTCTTCTGTATTCATTTTTTTTTTCAGAGAAACCAAGTAGCTCATGAAGAAAAGTTTTCATTTATAGAAAAATCACAATTGGCCGGGCGCGGTGGCTCATGCCTGTAATCCCAGCACTTTGGGAGGCCAAGGTGGGCAGATCACCTCTAAGGTCAGGAGTTCGAGACTAGCCTGACCCAACATGGAGAAGCACTGCCTCTACTAAAAATACAAAAGTAGCCAGGTGTGGTGGTGCATGCCTGTAATCCCAGCTACTCGGGAGGCTGAGGCAGGAGAATTGCTTGAACCCCGGAGGTGGAGGTTGTGGTGAGCCCAGATAGTGCCATTGCACTCCAGCCTGGGCAACAAGAGCAAAACTCCGTCTCAAAAAGAAAAAAAAAAAAAATCACAATCGATAATGGAGGAGGAATGTTAGAATTAGAAAATCACCAATTTGCAACTCATTGAAATAATGGTATCAGGAATGATCATCAATGGCTATCAAAACCATGAAGTGAAGGTTGAGCGAGGCCTTGCTAACAGATGGGTATCCATGAACCCACTGGTCAACCTTAGCCTACTGGAAATGGAACAGTGGAACTGGCAGACATGATGTATCCCAGATGTCACAAAATACACAATACTAGCACCATCTAGATGGAATCTGAAGCTAATCAAGCCACCAGATCTTATATAACCCACAGGAAACAGAGGGTAGAGAAATGTGTGAAATGGTAGTGAGTCCTCTCCCTCCATGGCATAGAGGAATGAGGTAGCTAGGCTGAAGGCACATACCTCAGCCCCATTCTGTGACAATCCTATGCAGGCCCTGGGACCTTTACAAGACAAGCCAGTAAAAAACCAGCTAAACTTTAGTCATTGTTCACTATAATTCAATGTGAGAAAGATGATCAAGTTAGCGTGTAAGGCAGGTAGGACCTATCAGAGGATGAGACATCTAAGTTAGTTCTCTTGTTTGAGGACCCTAAATAATATTTTTAAAATAATAAAGAAGCACATACTGTCATCTATTTCAAATGTTTAGGTTTGACACCTTTCACACACACTCACACAATGACCATCTCTTGATGCCATTTGGAAATCATGTCCTTCATGAATTACATCACCCCACAACCTTGGCCCATGTTCCATTATGGACTGCTGGGCACACTGCAGATTTCCCAGCTGGAGAAATAATAAAGCCAGTTCCTGCCTCCTATTCTGTTTCTTTTCTATCCCACCCCAGAGTATAGCTATAGAGATAAGGAAGGCACACAGAAGTAATGATTCTCTTGCAGCAGTAATTGCCCTGACATTTGCTCACCTATCTGTACCCACTTTCTCTGCCTTCCCACCCAGGACCTCAGATTTCCTATCGATGCTCTTATCAAAACCATCCTACCACTTCATGCTAAACGACACCTCCTCTAACAAACCCAGAAACATTCTTCCAGAAATCCTTTTGCTACATCATTAATTTTTCTTCTCTTTGGGATCATTGACATTAGCATAAAATGTCTTATTATCTCTCTCACTAAAAATTCCTTTCCAAATACCTGTAGAGTACTATGTTCACTGTTTAGGTGATGGGTTCACTAGAATTCCAAACCCCAGCATTATGCAATATATCTGTGTAACAAACCTGCACATGGAACCCCTGAATCTTTAATAAAATAAAATAAGATAAAAAATAAAGTTAAAATGATAAAATAGATTCCAGCTGCATAAGGATTTAGAGAAGAAGAACAAGATGATTTTCAAACACAAGCATTTGTGGAGATTGAAATTTTTAAAAATAATTGTGTACCATGTTACCATATGCAGAATAAAACTTTCAAAATTAGTAGCGAACAATAAAGAAAGCTAATTTATGTTTTTAAAAATGTTTCCTTAAAAAAGAATAAAACTTTCAAAGTTAGTAACTAACAATAAAGAAAGCTAATTTATGTTTTAAAAAATATATTTTCCTTAAGAAAAACTAGAGCAGAGATAAATGAACTGGAAAATAGAAAAATAATACGAAAAATCAAAAAAATCAAAAAAAGTTGGTTATTTGAAAAGATCAACATAATTGACAAACCTTTAGCTACATGAATTAAGGAAAAAAGACCACTCAAATTTCTATAATTAGAAATGAAAGTGGGCACAGCTGCTGCACATCCCGGGGCTCCTGACCTCTCTGCGTTTGCAGCGTAGCCCAAGTCGGTCAGCACTGGAGGACCTCAGAAGCCATGTTGAAGCCCCATAGTGAAGCCAGGGCTGCCTTCATTCAGACCCAGCAGCTGCACGCAGCCATGGCTGACACATTCTTGGAGCACATGTGCTGCCTGGACACTGACTCGCCACCCATCACAGCCTGGAGCACTGGCATCATCTGTACTATGGGCCCAGCTTCTCCATTGCTAGAGATGCTGAAGAAAACGATTAAGTCTGGAATTAATGTGGCTCATCTGAACTCTCATGGAGCCCATGAGTACCATACAGAGACCATCAAGAACGTGCGCACAGCCACGGAAAGCTTTGCTTCTGACTCCATCCTCTACCAGCCCATTGCTGTGGCTCCAGACACTAAAGGACCTGAGATCCCAACTGGGCCCGTCAAGGGCAGCGGCACTGCAGAGGTGGAGCTGAAGAAGGGAGCCACTCTCAAGTTCACGCTGGATAATACCTACATGGAAAAGGGTAAGAGAACATCCTGTGGCGGGACTACAAGAACATCTGCAAGGTGGTGGAAGTGGGCTGCAAGATCTACGTGGATGATGGGCTAATTTCTCTCCAAGTGAAGCAGAAGGATGCTCACTTTCTGGTGACAGAGGTGGAAAATGGTGGCTCCTTGGGCAGCAAGAAGAGTGTGAACCTTCCTGGGGCTGCCGTGGACCTGTCTGCCATGTTGGAGAAGGACATCCAGGACCTGAAGTTTGGGGGCGAGCAAGATGTCGATATGATGTTTTCATCATTCATCTGCAAGACATCTGATGTCCATGAAGTTAGGAAGGTCTTGGGAGAGAAAGGAAAGAACAGCAAGATAACCAGCAAAATTGAGAATCATGATGGGGGTTGGAGGTTTGATGAAATCCTGGAGGCCAGCGATGGGATTATGGTAGCTCGTGGTGATCCACCACAAGCCGTCGAGATGAGATTCCTGCAGGGAAGGTCTGCCTTGCTCAGAGGATGATGATTGGGTGGTGCAACCAAGCTGGGAAGCCTGTCATCTTGCCACTCAGATGCTAGAGGATGTGATCAAGAAGCTCCACCCCACTTGGGCTGAGGGCAGTGGTGTGGCCAATGCAGTTCTGGTGGAAGCTGACTGCATCATGCTGTCTGGAGAAACAGCCAAAGGGAACTATCCTCTGGAGGCTGTGCACATGCAGCACCTGATTGCCTGTGAGGCAGAGGCCACCATCTACCACTTGCAATTATTTGAGGAGTTCTGCCACCTGGCACCCATTACCAGTGACCCCGCAGAAGCTACTGCCATGGGCACTGTGGAGGCCTCCTTCAAGTGCTGCAGTGGGGCCATAATCGTCCTCACCAAGTCTGCAGGTGTGCCCACCAGGTGGCCAGATACTGCCCACGTGCCCCCATGATTGTTGTGACATGGCATCCCCAGGCAGCTCGCCAGGCCCACCTGTACCGTGGTATCTTCCCTGTGCTGTGTAAGGACCCCATCCAGGAGCCCTAGGCTGAGGATGTGGACCTCCGAGTGAACTTGGCCATGAATGTTGGTAAGGCCTGAGGCTTCTTCAAGAAGGATGATGTGGTCATTGTGCTGACCTGGTGACACCCTGGCCCTGGCTTCTCCACCACCCTGTGTGTTATTCCTGTGCTGTGATGGACTCCAGAGCTCTTCCTCCAGCCCCTGTCCCACCCCCTTCCCCCAATGCATCCATTAGGCCAGCAATGCTTATAGAGCTCACTCTGGGCTGTAGTGTGGCACTGGTGGGCTGGAACACCAGGGAAGAAGATTTATGCCTCGCTGAAACGTGGCTGTTTTTAGAGCCTGCTGTGGCGGGAGAGCCCGGAGCCTGGCTGCCCATCATGTGGCCCCACCCAAGCAAGAGAAGAAGGAGGAATGCAGAACAGAGGCCCCCAGAGTGTATGGCAAGAGGGTGGCAGCTTCCTTTCTTCTGTGTACTCTGTTTAGTTGCTTTAGAAAATGGAAGCCCAGAGGACTCCCAACCCTGTCCTGGGGTCAGGAAACAGCCAGTGAGAGTTAGGGACCTTAGGGCATGGGGCAGTAGTTCCAGTTTAAGCAGATCCTGACCCTGGCCCTTACTTGCTTCCCAATCCCCTGGGCCTTCCTCACTGGCACCTGTGCCCGCTCTCCACTCAGCTGTCCTGCAGCAAACACTTCACCCTCCACCTTCCATTTTCCCCCACTACTGCAGCCGCCTCTGAGCCTGTGGCTATAGAGCCTATCTCTATGTCAATAAACAACAGCTGAAGATAAAGAAAGAAAGTGGGAACATTAACTACATACTTACTGAAATAAAAAAGATTGTAAGAGAGTGTAAGAGGAGCAATTGTACCCCAACAAGTTGGATACACTAGATGAAATGGACAAATTCTTAGAAACGCAAAACCTACCAAGACTAAACCATGAAGACATGGAAAATAGGTCACAGACCTATGACTAGTAAGGAGACTGAATCAATAATCAGAAATCTCCAGACAGCCAGGAGTGGTGGTGCACACCTGTAGTCCCAGCTGTTTGGGAGGCTGAGGCAGGAGGATCACTTGAGCCTAGGAGTCTGAGGTCAGCCTTGGCAACATAGTGAGACTGTGTCTCCAAAAAAAAAAAAAAAAAAAAAAACTCCAGACAAAGAAAAGTCCCAGAGCTGATGGTGTCACAAGTGAATTCATCTAATGTTCAGAAGAGAGACTTAGGAGGGAGTCTGGACCCTCCCCACCCCCATGCTCCACTCTATCCTACAGCCACAGACCACCATTTCTCACCCGATCCACTCTAGCTTTCCTTACCCCTCCCTTGCCTATTTTATGCAGCCACAGAGATTTTTTAAAAATTCAAAAATCTGACTCTCTTTTCTATATTTTAAACTCTTCAATGTTTTCCTTTTTCTTTTTGGATAATGATGGAAATCTTTTGTGGAGTCCTAATTAGGGAAAAGGAGTCAGGATGGCAAGACTGAGGGAAAGAAAAAAGAAAAAGCAGATTGAGCTGGGCACCGTGGCTCACGCCTGTAATGCCAGCACTTTGGGAGGCTGAGGCAGGTGGATCACCTGAGGTCAGGAGTTTAAAACCAGCCTGGCCAACATGGTGAAACCCCGTCTCTACTAAAAATACAAAAAAAAAAAAAAAAAAAAGGAAAAAAAAATTAGCTGGGCGTGTTGGTGTGCGCCTGTAATCCCAGGTACTTGGGAGGCTGAAGCAGAAAAATCGCTTGAACCCGGGAGGCGGAGGTAGCAGTGAGCTGAGATTGCGCCATTGTACTCCAGCCTGGGCAACAAGCATGAAACTCCATTTCAAACAAAAAAAGAAAAGAAAAGAAAAAGAAAAAGCAGATAAGTTGTGTCTGACTTTCTTCATGGTCCAGGACACGTAGCCCTCCTGTGCAAACAACTCACTATCTTCCTGCACCCAGTTATCGTCAGACCTTTGGCTGATGGAAAAATGCAAGTGAGCTCACTGCCACCTTGGCGTTATCAGTACTGCAAAAAGCCCTCTTCGGCACACAGCATAAGCACTGTTCTCTGAAATCCCCAGCAAGCCTTTGTCTCTTTGCAGTCAGCTCCTCTCTTACTAACTGGTCATTGTTCCCTTACAGCATATTTTTATACTCTCTCTAAGAAACCTGCCTTTCTTTACCTAACAACTGTCTTGGTAAATTCTTCTCACCTCCATACCACTGGTCTCAGATAGTGACATCTTTGACATGGTCCTCAATTTTCAGGACCTTTGCATGAGCTGCCGTCTCCTAGCTGGCTCCCCATCATCCTTCACAGTGTAGCTTAGGGCTATTTCCCTCAGGGAGCTTTTCTGAACTTCCAGAGCAGTTCTAGGCCCCCTGCTATATACTCTCCTGAAGCACTTTTATTTCAGTGTATTTATATACCTTGGTGCTATTATTTAAAGTCCGACTGACCTCTTAGATTCTAAGCCCCATGCATGCTTTTCTAATCACTGAATTTCTAGCACTAACATAGCACATGACATAGTGGAGACTCAATAAATATCTAATGAATAAAAGAGGGAAAAAGGAAATAAGGAAGGCAGGTGGGAAGAAAAAAGCTGATAGTCTCAGCCAAACTCAGTGACTATGGTGAATCCTGTGGGACATGGAAATATTCTAGCAAACCTTCTTTATGTACTTAACTACTGTCCTGAATCTGCATTGACCAGTGTCTGCTGTATGTGATCTGCACACACAGCATGGGTATAATTTTCAGCCACAGCTTTTTTTTTGTTTAAAAAAAAAATGGAAAGATTAAATTTAGAAGTTAGGCCTATCCACACAATGTCTAACAAACTTACTAATCAAAATATTTACAAATACAGCTTCCAACTGCTGAAATTAGATAATTTAATATTTCCTAGTTTAGGCAGAACACTCAAGAACACAGGAAAAGATTGAAAGTCTAAAAAAATGGAGTGAAGCTTTTTGGAATTTATATTGTTCATTTCATCCAACAAAAGTCGTGAAACAGTTACACATTGAGTAGTACTCAGGGAATGTCATGACATCCAAGCTTCAGATCCAATGGGACTCTAATTTTCAGAAGAGCTTCCATTTTAAAATTTAGTCTTCCCACAAAAGAGGAGTGGAATATAGCCTCTGTGTGGGCAGAAGGCATGCTGCAGACACGTCTGGAGGAGGAACATTCAGATGCAAGATTGCTGCAAGGGCCCACAAGCAGAGAGGTGCCCTCATCTGTGATCACCACCCTCACCCTCCACTTCTGCCTTTGAACCTTGACTCAGACAAAGCTGCAACAGCATCAGCTGGCTCACAATTACATTTCTTGTTGTAAATGATGTTTTTACTTTAAAACATCTCTAATTAGGGGCCGGGTGCGGTGGCTCATGCCTGTAATTCCAGCGCTTTGGGAGGCCGAGGCCCCCGGATCACGAGGTCAGGAGATCAAGACTATCGTGGCTAACATGGTGAAATCCCGTCTCTACTAAAAATACAAAAAAGTAGGCGGGCGTGGTGGTGCGCACCTGTAGTCCCTGCTACTTGGTAGGTTGAGGCAGGAGAATCGCTTGAACCCAGGAGGCAGGGGTTGCAGTGAGCCGAGATCACGCCACTGCACTCCAGCCTGGGCAACAGAGCAAGACTCCGTCTCAAAACAATGACAACAACAAAAACAACAACAACAACAACAACAACAAACTCTACTCATATGTAGAAATCCAGGTTTCAAATATTTCATTTAATCTGAGCCTACTTGGTAGAGAACGCTGGATCAAAGTTGTATTCCTTTTCTATTGCTGCCATAACAAATTACTATCAACTTAGTGGCTTCAGCAACACCAGTGTATGCTCTCACAGTTCTGTGAGTCAGAAGACCAACATGGGTTTCTTTGACTAAAACCAATGTGTTAATAGGCTATGTTTCTTTCTGGAGGGTCTGGGGGAAAATCCATTTCCTGCTAATTTGGGTTGTTGACAGAATTCAGTTCCTTGCTGGTTGTCAGTGGAGGGCCATTCCCAGCTTCTGAAGGCCCCTGCATTCCTTGGCTTATGGCCTCTCCCTCCATCTTCAAAGCCTGCAATGGTGGGCTGAGTCCCTCTCATACTGTGAATCTCTCTTCCTTTTTTTCCCCTCTCATCTTTTCACTTGCAACTGGGAAAGGTTCTCCACTTTTAAGGACTTGTATGATTATAGAGTCCACCTGGATAATTCAGATACACTCTCTATCTCAAAATATTCAACCTTAATCACAACTGCAAAGTCCCTTTACCATGGAAGGTATCATATTCTGGGGGATAGAGAGTAAACATATTTGGCCGGGCGTGGTGGCTTACGCCTGTAATCCCAGCACCCTGGGAGGCTGAGGCGGGCAGATCACGAGGTCAGGAGTTGGTCAGCCTGACCAACATGGTGAAATGCTGTCTCTGCTAAAAATACAAAAATTAGCCAGGCGTGATGGTGTGTGCCTGTAATCCCAGCTACTCAAGAGGCTGAGGCAGGAGAATCGCTTGAACCTGGAAGGCAGAGGTTGCAGTGAGCCACGATTGCGACACTGCACTCCAGCCTGGGCAACAGAGCAAGACTCCGTGTCAAAAAAAAAAAAAAAAAAGGAGACACATTTGTGGGTCCATTATTCTGCCTACCTCAAAGATATTCATTAATCGAGGTGGGGGGTGGTGGTGCTAGAGATTTTCTTTAGAACTTTGAGTGAGCTCCTCTGTGAATCAGAAAGATATTCTTGTAAAGTCTCTAGCCTTATGCTTGTGATATTTAAGAGCTTCAGTGATTGCCATTTCTTGGAGAATTCCTTTATATTTTAGCACACTCTCAAAGAACATTATTACCCTTCCCCACTGAGTTTTGCTCAGAGTCTCAATGTCATTATTTTATTCCTTGCGCTCCCTTTTTTTCTTAGAGTCATCAACTATAATGTAAGTTGCTTTTCCTTGTTGTATATCCTTTCTTCTGGATCTTTTGGAGAGGGTTCAGATTATATATTTTTCCTGTTTTTTCAGAGTGGGGGAAAAAGTCTCCAGGAGAGGAGAAGGAGTTTTCTCACTTGCCTGCTATTTCATTTCCCTAGGCTTTCAAATTTATACACACAGTCCATGTGTTCTGATTTTTCCACACAGACATTTTCTAACAGAGATGTTTGTGCAATTTCTTTGCATCTTCACTTCATGTTACGAATATAGCCAAATTCAAAAAATATACCCAGCCAGAATAAATGTTTGATCTTGTATCACTGGATTCTTGCATATAACTGGCCATTAAGCAACTAAAACAACTGGACTTCAGAACAACTGAATTAACAAATACATTGATAATCTGATCAATTTTTTGGTTGGATAAGATCCAAACATTTTAAGATCTGGCATTAAAGAAAGAAAAAGAATATATCACGCATTTTTCAATTTAGTTAATTAACAGCTCCTAAATTTAGTGTCCTATTTCTGGTTATGTGTTAAATTTACCCATGGTGTTGTCCTTTACATTTGAGAAAAATTTAATGAAGTCTTTCTATAGGGAAGTGTTAAAAGTATAATGCCAAGTGAAAAAGAGATTATAAAATAACACATACAATGCAATTTATTAATGTATGTTTCACAATATAATTTTTCTATAGTACACAAAATAAAAATATAAAACAGATATACATATATATACACATGAATGATATTAGATCTAGTTGACAAACAGTGCAAGCTTTCACCTTCCCTCCAATCCTGAATCTATTAAAATAAAAAGCTATATTTTAGAAAGAATACATTTACAGCATTCTAGGAAAACATGAAATGAAACCACCATTAAAAGACCAGGAAATTCGAGACATTCCTGGAAAGAAGATAGAAATGAATGAGAGGAGACTGATAACAGGCGTGAACAGAAAACTACATCCCGACACACCCGTGAGTGAAAGGCCAATTGGGGAAATTCCAAACTTAGAGAGAACAAATGGAACAAGAAGAGAAGTAGCCATGGAGCAATGCTTCTAGTGAGTCATAAACAGCTGCATCAGGTCAGAGAGGACAGCCCAGAAACCATCTCTCTCCTGTCTCCTGGTTTATACACACAACACACGTGTTTGATCCCAGGTTAAAAGTGGAGAACTACACTCTGAAGCAAGCAAACTTCCTTCCCTTAAGGCGTCCTGGTGTAGGGGCCTAGAATAGAAAAGCAGAGCTTAAGATAACTCCAGACTGCTACAACAATCAGGGAGAGAAAAATGAAGACACAGCTCTCTCCAAGAAGGAAATACATGAAAGGGCTAAGGGGGGAGGATCATTTGAGGCAGGAAGTTCAAGACCAGCCTCGATGATATAGCAAAACCCTATCTCAAAAATGAAACAAAACAAAACAACAACAGGGTTTCACCACCAACCCATTGAACTATTGCCATGGTTTGCCACATAGTTGACTAATATCCATGTTGACATGAGAAGCGCGATGCCAATTTTTTGTCTCTTTTCATTGTAGGTAACTGGCTTTCTTCTCTCTGGAGATGTCATTCAGCAGGCTTTTTCAATCTGACAACTGGTGCTTTTCTTCAGCTTGGGAAATTTTATTTTATTTCTTCAATTACTTCCCCTATTTTCTCTGTTCTCTCCTTCTGGAGTTTCCATGAGTGAATCTTTTTCAATTTTCAATGTCTTTCAATTTTCAATGTCTTTCAACTTTCCTATCATATTTTTCTTTTAACTGATTTTTTTTTTTTGTCTTCCTTCTTGGATCCTTGCAAGGGTGAGCTCTTAATTTGGTCACTGTCATGGACTGGATGTTTGTGATCCCCCAAATGTGTATGTTGAAATCCTGACCCCTAAGGTGATGGTCTTAGGAGGTGGGTTCTTTGCAAGGTGATTAGGTCATGAGAGTGGAGCTCTCATGAAAATGATTAGTGCCCTTATAAAAGAGACCCCAAATATCTCTCTCACTTCTTCCCCTTCTGCCATGTGAGGACACAACAAGAACATTGTCTTAGAATTAGGAAAGTGAGCCTTCACCAGAACCTGACTATGCTGGCCACCCAGGCTGTGGCATGTTTGTCATAGCAGCCCGTACAGACTGAGACTGACACCTTTGTGAGCACATGCATCTCAATGCTGCCAGAACCTTCTTAGAAAATGTGTAGAATGTGTCTCAGAATTGTCCACCCAAGGAACAGAATAGGGGAATATTTACTCACCAGCTTTCCATCACTTTCAAATATAGGTAAGCATTTTAGATGTAACTCAGGGTGAAAAATCCATTTATGTGCTTTGCAAGTTGAAATTCCGTAGTCAGTTGATATATAAATATTTCTTATTATAAAATACTGTATGATTAATTATTCTTGTGGAAACTCTTAATTTTATGTACTAAAACAATTATTAAAGAGCTTTCCAATTAACCAAGCTGATGTATCTGGAGAGTGTAAGTATTTTTTAATGGATACTCGCTGCAAATATGCCCCCATCAGCTGTTCGAGATTAAAGGAGACTAAAGAGGCATGACAGCTACGTGCAATGCATGACACTATTTTGGATCCTGGCTCAGGGAGAAAAAGTTCTATGAGAGACATTATTGGGACACTTTGCAAAATTGGTTTCTCTCTTGTGTTGAGTCTCTTAACCTGAGATTGTTGGCTGTTTCTTTGCAGAGACCTGCAAGGAAACTATGATCCCTAATTAGAGACTCACGAATCATGCAAAGGTTTATCACAGAGAAAAAACTAGGGCTAAATTACTGCCCACAGGAGAGGAGTTTAGAACTACAGGATGATAGTAATGCTTGACACTAATAAATCACTCTGGAAAAGAAGTTTATAAAATCTGGCAGCTCTTAAAAATCAACATGCTATTTATAGAAAAGAATAGGAAAGAGAACTGTGCAACAAAGACTTTTTTTTGCCTCCTTTGAGCCATTTGAATCATCACACTCGCCATATTACTAACTTACACTACTTGTAGCATTCATCCTTTGATGGCAGAGGGCCAAAACATTCTTAGAAAATAGTTAGGAAGGGAGAGGAGTCATCACTTCCTTAGCTTAGGTTCAGAGTTCTGCTGAAAACCACTGTCTCTAGCACTCAATCTGTACTCTTCACCTGACTCCCGGGGAGAAAGTTCTACAGAGAGGAAGCTGGAGCGTAGAACAAGGCCCTTAAACTCACCATGCATTCTGAAATATCCTCTGTAGTAGCATGCATGCTTACTAATTTTTTCACAGTGGACATAGGAATATTAGTACTGTTTGCCTGTTCATTTATATATTAATTAACTCATTTATTCATTCACACGCCTTGATTCATGGTTTCAGAGATCAGTTGTTGAGTTTTCTGTATATATAAAAATCTGCGCTAGCTGCTATAGATATAGACACATACACGAGAGATGGCTTCTGCCTATAAGAAGAAACAGGCAGTAGCTAACTGTCTGAATTCATTCATTCAGCAAATGTTTATTGAGTGTCTACTCTAGATCAGGCAATATTCTAGGAGGTTGTATCCTAGTTGGAGCAGAAAGCTATTAATTAAGCAAATTTAAAAGGTTGTTCCCCTTTATGATTAGTGCTGTGAAGGAAATGAACAAAGTGATGTATGTACCTGCTATGTGTGAGCCATGTAATTACTGTTATTTGACCAAGTGAAGCTTAAAAGATACTCTCTAGTAGAGACATGTAGCGAGATATTAAAGTCAAGCTTGGCCGGGCTTAGTGGCTCATGCCTGTAATCCTAGCACTTTGGGAGGCCCAGGCGGGAGGATTGCTTGAGCACAAGAGTTTGAGACCAGCCTGGGCAACATAGCGAGAACTCATCTCTATAAAAATTTTAAAAATCAGTCAGGTGTGGTGGTGCATACCTGTAGTCCCAGCTACTCAGGAGGCTGAGGTGGGAGGATCACTTGAGCCTGGAAGTTCAAGGCTGCAATGAGCTGTGTTGTGCCACTGCATCCTAGCCTGGGTGACAGAGGGGAACCCTGTCAAAATAAATAAATGAATAAATACAGGAAATCTTCAAAACCTATTTAAGCCACTATGGTTGAGTTATTAAGCAAAATTACCAAATACATCATTGTTCTATGATATAGTTTCTCAACCTTGGCACTACTGACATTTTGGGACAGACAATTATTTGTGGCAAGGGCTGTCCTGTGCATTGTAGGATGCGCGGCAACATGCCTGGCCTCTACTCAGGGATGCCAGTGGCACCCCCTTCTCAGATGTAACAAGCAAAACTGTCTCCAGGCATTACGAAATGTCTCCTGTGGAACACAATTACCTCTGGTTAAGAAACACTGGTGTATGGGGAAAAATGTTCCGAATGCCAACTAGGGACCCTAGAAATATATATTCTGTCCCTCAATGTCCTCACCCAAGAGTCTCAGAGGGCTTCTTTTCCTCCTTGTTCTTATGTTTTCTGTCTAACCTTAGCCCTGCATCAGATACTTCATTTTCCTCCTCCCGTCAGCTTCCTGGGGGAGAAAGGGCAGGAAAAGCAGCTTCAGGGAAGCTGCTTTCCAACTGGAGCAAGTCAACCCCAAAGACAGGAGAAGTGGGGGACCTGAGTGGTGTTGCCATCACAGGCAAAGTTTGCCTCTTGATTCATTTTGCTAAGGATCCACACCCCCCCAGTCACACTCCACACAGAGCCCTGCGGCGACATTTACTCATGCAGTCATGGGTTCATGTGCCCCATCGCAGGCCATGAAGAACGTGGTTTGTATCAGCTTACTTTCTGCTCTTCTGGATGATTGAGGGCAGCCACATGGGATCCTCTGGAGGTGCCCAGCACTTGCTTCTTGGTCCTATATCGAGGCCTGCTTACTGTTAAGAGCAAAAGAGACCAAGATGTTGGCTGAGCACGGTGGCTCACACCAGCAATTCCAGCATTTTGGAAAGTTGAGGGGGGTGGATCACCTGAAGCTGGGAGTTTGAGACCAGCCTGATCAACATGGAGAAACCCCCTCTCTACTAAAAATACAAAATTAGCTGGGCATAGTGGCACATGCCTGTAATCCCAGCTGCTTGGGAGGCTGAGGCAGGAGAATCGCTTGAACCCAGGAGGCGGAGGTTGTGGTGAGCTGAGATCGAGCCACTGCACTCCAGCCTGGGCCACAGAGCAAGACTCCACCTTCAAAAGAAAGAGACCAAGATGTGAGCTGAGTGGTGAAGATAAAATCTGGATGTGGAACTGTAGTGATGCAAAGGCAGAGGGGAGCAGGGGAGAGGCTGGAGGTGACCACTCAAGACCTTTAGGAGACAGAAAACTGCACAGAAGACTGTCTGCCCAAGGCCTAGGGCCCAGCTTTGCCCAGGGAATCGAAACTTAGAGTATGAAGCAATGTTATAAAGCAATTTTTTTTTAGTTGTGCAAGTGTCAAATGCTGTAAATGAAACAAAATCAGGCAATGTGATAGTGCCTGTTTGCTGGGAGGATTTCCGGGAGAAGGTGGCTATCACTTTACAATGAAAGGTCAGAGAAGGTATCTCCGAAGAGGTGGCATTGAGGTTGAAACAAAATGACAGGAAGGAGCCTTCCACACAAAGACTCTGGGGAGAGGCAGAGGAAATAATGAGTTCAAAGGCATGAAGGCTAAATGAGCGTGGGGCATGCAAGGCAGAGAAACAGCAGGTAAACAGTGGGGTAAGAGAAAAAGGCAGGCCTTGGATCAAGTAGGGAGAGACACATTATAGAAAGAGCAAATGATCCTTACCCTGATGGGCTGTCTCGGCTCTTTGCAGTCCCTCTCAGTAGCAGACACCCACCTGTGCTTGATAGTTTTCACCCTGTTTCATAACATTGCACCTACTCAGAAACCACTGTCTCTTTGTATCTGTGATCACTTAGAGTCCATCAGCTTGGTGCTGACTTTCTTCTCTTCATGTAGACAGCTGTGTTATAAAAGACCCAAAGGGAGAGGGACAAAACCTAAAAAGGCTACTTTGGGGTATATATGAGCTTTGGAATTACCCATCTCCCTGCCAGGAGGTGAGGAGGGAAGAGTTCACAGTTGGCGTGTCCCTTGAGCAAGAGAAGATAACTCGCTCCTGCTGGTTCTGCAAGGTTTCAGCAGTGATGGTTGTTTTGTAGTAGCTCTGAACTTGCCAAGAAAAACACATTGTTTAAAACAAGCCATTCATTTTGAGAAAGGCTATTGTGTAATAATTTCTTTTTCTTCACCCCTTCATCCACAACCACGCAGAGACCATGGTCATCAAAATAATAGGTCTTTTTTATTTTTACTTAGGGGATCCCAATTTTTCTCCTGTGGCTATGAACAAGGGAAAATATAGCAAAGGGAATGCTGATTGGTTTATTATGCAAGTCTGTAGTTGGGATGACTATAAAACAATGAACATTATTTTCATAAACTACATGAAAACCAGTGTCTTATATTAAGCTTACATAATTACAGCTATGTCATTCTTTATGTTCCCATGTCAATGTTCTCTGCTTCAGATGCCCCTCCAAGAGGACAGGAATTGGACCCACTTTGGGTAGCCTTGTACAATGCAACCCAGCACCCAGCAACGTCCTGAAGAGGCTGCTGACTGCTCTGGTCGAAGTGGAGCAGGGCCCTTCCTCCCTCCACTGGAAAGGGTGGGCAAGAAGCATCAGTGCTTCTGGTATTTGACTCAGTGAGACCTAGATATTGCAGATCTGCCATCAAAAATATTTGTAAAGCCGTTTGCACCACTATTATCCTTCTGCTCCTTTTAAAACCTAACAGGCAGGCCCAACTTGGAAACTTCCAAGAATGAAACACCACCTTCAGAAAACGTGGTAATTGATAGAAGAGTCTGGTGCTACTGCATGATGCATTCCATACCCTCTGGGCTCCTCTCTCTAGTTCTTTAACCTAGTCTCTCTCAAGCTATGATGAGAAAGGCACTGATTATTTCAAAATGGTGCAAATCACCTGCTGTTTAAAAAACAAGATAAATCCCCCAAAAACGAAAAAAATGAAGTTGTCAAAGACACTGGAATGAAATTTCTGAAGAACCAATCTTTTCCCACTGTGTTTCTCCATCAAAAGGAAAAGCTAGGCAAGCTTGTTGAAATGATCAGCTCCATGTGTTCAGCCTGAGTATAGGGTAGCAGGAAACTGCACCCTAATTTTAGTGTTCTGCATGGACTCTCATTACTGCCCAAGCACATGGCTCTCACATGCATAAGTCCTTCTTGAGTACTGGTTGCTAACCCTCCTCCACACTTGGTTTGCAGAGGATATTTCCAGAGTTAGAAGGGTCTTCCAGAATTTCAGAAAAAGAGCACCAGATATTCAATAAACCATGGTTTTTCTAAAGGAATTAATGGGTTGTCTGTCAGTCAACATTTGGACAAGCTGAGTCTAAGGTTGGCCCTGTAGCTCAGGAGTTGGGTTTCTACAGTGCCTGTTCTCTAGTTCCTTTTTGTGTTGTTCATCTCTTCTAATAAACTTTGGGCATAGGTTCAGCAAGTGAGAGGCAGGATAATGGAATGGTAAACACACGGCCTCTGAAGCCAGGCTATCATATTGGGACCTGACTCTGACACCATCTCTGTGACTTAACTTCTCTAGGACTGAGCTTGCTCGCCTGTAAAATGGATCACAATAGGGCCAACATCATGAAGATGTTGATGAGCTAAATTAGTTAAGTGAAAAGCAGTTAGAACAGCACCTGACCCATCATGTGTCCAATGTGTTAGCTCTTCTTAATAGGGGTGCTCTACTGCAATTACTGAAAAGGGCTTTATTGTGGCAGCTCATTTGAAGAATTTAGAGGTCTATACCTATAGTGGGTTCCCAGTCTTTTGGCCGGCTCCTGGGATACATCTCGGAAGATGAATGTGGGAGCATCTGAATTCCTCTTTCTCTAATCTCTCAGGTTGGCTACTTCATTTTTGAGTAGAGCCCCTTCAAACACATACATTTTTTTCCCCTTTATGTCTGTTATTGTTCCCGGTGATAAGGAGTGTGTTTTTGGCTCAGCTCCATGGTTGCCCTATCTATTAATATATCTTTTCTCCATTGCCAGGGCAGGAAGCCTGAAAACTACACTTTCCAGACTCCTTTGCCTACTGCTTCTTGTTAGCTTTTGCCAATGGGAGGCTCTGGCAGAAGATTGGAAGGTGGGAGGAAAGTTGAAACAAGGTTTTTCCCTTCAGCTTCTGGGGGTGTCTCCAGCTATGCAAAGGGCAGCATAGTGTCATAATGGCCCGGTTGTGGTTGCCATTTTCCCATTTACTCTTTCAGACCTAATCACTGCAGTGTTTCCCTGCTCATCTTTGAGTAACATGACTTCTCTTTATGACTCTTCTCCTGTTTGTATACTTACTGCTGTTTTCTGAAACCGCTTCCTGGTTGACAGGAATCATTGTTTAAAGACTTTAGATGCTCAAAGAATTTTGCTATTTGCTATACAAAATGACTTAAATCTCTAAAATCCTTGTTTTAAAAAATCTTAAAGGCTGGGTATGGTGTGGCTCACACCTGTAATCCCAGCCCTTTGGGAGGCCGAGGCAGGAGGATCACTTGAGACCAGGAGTTCGAGACCAGCCTGTGCAACATAGGCAGACCCCTGTCTCTACAAAAACAATTAAAAATGATCTCAGTGTGGTGGCGCACATCTATAGCCCCAGCTACTTGGGAAGCTGAGATGGGAGAATCGCTTAAACCCAGGAGATGGAGGTTGCAGTGAGCTGAGATCATGCCACTGCACTGCAGCCTGGGTGACAGAGCAAGACTCTGTCTCGAAAAACGACAACAACAACAAAAAACTTACAAACAAAACCTATCAAAACTCACACGAACACACAGGGACAAGTGAACAAACATTACAGATTAAAATGAAAGAATATGCCAGATACACTTTATTAGTTATCTGTTGCTACATAACAGATTATCCTTAGACAGTGGCTTAGACAGCAATCATTTATTATTTCTCATGGTTTCCGTGGGTAAATAATTTCAGAACAGCTTGGTTGGATGGTCTTGGCTCGGAGTCTCCATGAAATTACAGTTAGATATCAGCTGGGGCTGCAGCCGTCTAAAGTTTTGACTGGGGTTGGAGGATCTACTTTTCAAAATGGCTCACTCTTGAGGCTGGCAAGTCAGTGCTGGCTGTTGGCAGGAGGTCTCAGTTCCTTTCTATGTGGGCTTCTCCACAAGGCTGCTTAAGTGCCTCATGGCATGGCAGCTGGCGTCCCCCAAATAAAGTAATCCAAGGGACTAAGGAGGAAACTGCAATACCTTTTATGACTTATCCTTGGGAGTCAAATTTCATTAATTTATTCATATTCTATTGGTTACACAAAGCCAGCCCTGATTCACTGTGCAAAGTGACTACACACAGGCACATATACCAGGAGTCAAGTTCACTGGAGGCCCTTTTGGAGGCCGGATCCCATGTGCATAGTCACTGTGTATGCATTAGATGATAAGCGCGTAGTCTGAGTGAAGATGAGACATGGAAAACTCTCCTCTTCAAACAAGGGGCCAGGAAAGTTATAGATTTCAAGAGTTCCTTGAATGAGAAAGAAGGAATGAAAGAAGGACCATGAGTCCTTCAGGTTTCCCTGTAGCCCGTGAAAAAATATAACAAGCTAATGAAATGTTGAGCTAGTTGTTCTGAAAGGCATAAACAGGATGTATTCAGTTGCTTCTTTTCTCTTTCCCTTTTGTTTTAGCCACCATTTTTTCATTCTCTCTTATCTGCATTGCCATGGATGTGTCTGTTCCTTTGTTTCTAACCATTGGTAGGTACTCCATGACATGCAGCCAACAATTTTATGCCTCTACTCACCAGGAATACACACGCATGCTGCCTAGGAGGAGTTTCTGAGGGAGAAAAGGCATTAGCAAGAAGTAGCCCAGAGAAGTGTTGGCATTAGCAACACCTTTATTTATTTTAAAGTTAGAACATGCAACTACATATGTGTGAGGTGGTAAGGACTGGAAATGTTCTTTACTCAATAATCATCTGTGCCAGGCACAGTGCCAGATACTGTGGGAGGTTCAAAGATGGGTGAGACATAGTCCCTGACCTCAAGGAACGTATGGTTTAAAGACAAAACGGATCAGCAGTTCTCTAATTGGGATACAAAATTAAGAACAACAAGAGGTTATTGAGGGCCATCCCAATAATTCTGACCAGGGGATCAGGGAAGTGTTCATGCAAGGTTGAGCCTGAGAAGGATCTTGAAGGAATAGGACATGCAAGGGTGGATGGGAGGCGCTGGGGTGGAAGTGCAATACATTTTAGCCTGGAAGAACTAAATAAGCAAAGGCATCGAATAGAGGAGGGGTTGCATAGGTTGAAGGAGCAAGAAGGAAGTCAGTACGGCTGTAGCACGTGCGTGGGAAACATAGAGGGCTGTGGTTGGGGAGAAGGCTGGCAAGATGAGATGGGACCAGATCCTGGTGAATCTTCGGTGTCACGCAGGGAGTCAGAGTCACTCAGCAATGATTCAGCAATGGGAAGGAAATGAAGGTTCTTAAAGGAGGGAAACGACATTTTCACACCCATGTGGAAATGGGAGAATTAATACCAGAGACACTGAGACCAAAATGTGTGTCTCTGGTTGAAGAAATTATGACTATTTTACATTTTTCCCCTTTGAGTCACCTGCAGTTTCTAATTTTCCCATAGTGAATGTGGACATGTGGTGAAAATTTAAAAATAGAATACATAAAATAGTGTTTAAAGGGTAAGATACACATGGGGGAAAAGGAGGAGGCCAATGAGAGTGGAGTGTCTGCCATTGGTAAGGAGGAACCTGGCTCTGGAGGCCACAGGCTGGAGGCCAGCCAGGAGGAAGCTGGCAAAAAGGGGAAGGAGAGGATTTCATTCATATAGTCTCCCAATATCTGCTGAGTGTTTGCCTTGGGCTGGGCACTGTTCTAGGAACTTACAATCATGTATTTGTGAAATGGCTGAGAAATGGAGAAACAGCTGCGTGCAGTAAAAGGATGGACAGGGAAGGCCTTTTTTTTTTTTTTAGGCTATAAGAGATTTGAGTGTGTTTGTAAGCTCAGGGGAAGGAGCATGTGGAGAATGAAACACAAAATGTCAAAACCAATGGAAAAGATAAAAGATGAGGTCCAAGAGCCAATCAGAAGGAATAAGGTCAGGTTTGCAAATGCAGTGTGTATGTGTGTGTGTGTATGTATCTGTGTCCCAGAAAATATCTAAATTAGAGAATATATGAACATCTGTATAAATGTGTACACATGAGCACATTTTGGATTTGAATTTATAGTGACTCCTGAAGATAAAGATTTGGGCAGAATTGGAGGCATTTTTCTCTGCCATCTACAAAAGTGTCCAAGGGCTATTCAGAAATAGGAAACAATATACCACAACCCCAATAAACAAAGCAAGTGAGGAAATGCAGTTTTCCCCATGTTATGTTCCAAAGAGCAGAAAATATTACAAGAGGATGGGAGAAGAATGGTTACACAGGAAAACACGCTGCACAAAGGGTGCAGTGCAACAGGTGGAAGGTGTGCGTGATACCAACATGACTGCCAGGCCGGCTGAGAGTATACAAGCCTCTGGGAGACCTGGCTGCCACATGGCTGGACCATCATGTCTCTGGACAGGGATTGATGGATGTGCCTCCCATGTGCTTTGATGTTCCTTATCCCCTTCAAAGTTGCCTGTTTTGAAGAATTTGTGTTTGGCCAGAGTTAAATGACCCACTTTGCTTGGGATTTCTCTCCCTGCCTCAGTGAGAGCGCAATCCAACTTGTTTCAGGTGACACCCTGAGGAGACAAGCAGAGGACTTTGAGGACTATGAAAGCCATTTTTTATAGTCACTTGCTGAAGCTCAGCTGACCCTCCCAGGAAATGGAAAGATTGAGGCAGGCCCAGGCACTGCAGTCTGTGGCAACCGGGTCAGGAAGGCGCGCTGAAGTTAATTATCCAGCCTGGCATCCCCACAAGCTTGCTTGTTTGGTGTTGCTTCTTTCTTAATCAAGAAGAGACTCCCATGGTGGTGTCTTAATGTAAACAAAGCAATTTGTGACTTGATTAACAAATCAAGGATGGACAAACATGTCCTTTTCTCCCTTCTCCTCTTTACTAGGGACTTGGACTATTTTAAGGAGTGTCTCTCGATGTGAAAGGCAGTGGCTGCCTGAGGTTTGTCTGGTTTGGTGTCTTCCTGTGTTTCTCCCTTCTTACCACATCCACAGCAAGGGATTCATTCTAGGCATTCCATAGAGACTGAACCCATTCCTTCTGTGTCCTGGGAAATGTAAAAGTTGGAAATGCAACCCCCATTAAAAGCAATTCAACATGTGATTTGTCCAGGTGATGAGGTATGTAGCTAATATTAGTCGCCGTGATTTATCGAGAGAATAACTACCTGGTGATAGATTTTTCATGAATGTATCTCAAGTCATCTATCACTGTGACAATGAACTTTTCATATCTGGGCAGGCCTGTGATGGTTACAGAAACCAATAACTCCTTTAATAGAACTGCATGTCCATTAAATTACTGGAGGGAAAGAAAGAAAACAGGAAGGTCTTACAGCTAAAAAGGGCACAACATAGGGGAAAAAATAACAAAAAAAGATTCTATGACGAGACATTGTGAAAAATCAACACAAGGTTTTTGTTTTGTTTTGTTTTGTTTTTTGTCCTTAGAAATTAATTCTACAATGTCTTCTTTTTCTCACAAACACCATCACCCCACGTTGAAATGAAGCTGCTGTCTCCTCTGAATGCACACATGGACAAAGAAGGGCCCTGAGAAATCCCTAGTACACATACATCCTGAACCCTCAGGCCTCACTGGTGTGATGTGTTCCCTTAACTAAACTGGTACAGTGCAAATAATGACTTGTACTAGTTTTCTATTTGCAGTTTTAACAAATTTCCACAAATTTGATGGCTTAAATAATAGGATTTTATTATCTTGCCATTAGTTCTGAAGGTCAGAAGTCTGACATTGGTTACTGGGCTAAAATCACTGGGGCGCATTTCTTTCTGAAGACACTAGGGAGGAATCAGTTTTCTTTTTTTTTTTTTTTCTAGTTTCTAGAGGCTGCCCAAATTCCTTGGTTTCTGGCCTCTTCCTCTATCTTCAAAGCCAGCAAGGGTGGGTTGAATCTTCCCATCACATGACTCTGACCTCTTCTTTTTTCCTCTTCCACTTTTAAAGACCTTTGTTATTACATTGGCCTCTAGGGATAATCCAGGATAAACTCCCTATTTTAAAGGCAGCCGATTTAGCAGTCTAATTCCACCTGCAACCTTAATTCTCTTTTTACCACATTAACTAACACATTTACGGGTTCCAGGGATTGAGTCACAGACATTTTTGCAAGGACGTTTTTCTGCTTACCACAGGACTTAAATTTATTTGTTGTGTTTTTTCTTTGTGTTTCTTTGCCTCAAAATAGTAATAGAACAAGCAAAGCGAAGTGATCTCTTAAGGCAGGTTCCCCAAACAGGTTAGCATTCAAAGGTCAGCTCTCGCTCTTGCTCCTTGCTGGTCTTAGGCAAGTTACTAACCTCTCTCCAAACCTCAGCTCATCATCTGTAAAATGGGGATAATACAATCCTCTTACAGAAATTGTGAAGGAGATGGGATGATGTTTGTAAAGCTTCACCGTAACACCTAGCATGTAGTAAGTGCTCAATGAAAGTTAAAGTTTTTAAAAAGTTAGAGTAAATGTGGTGGGGTGGGAGTGATGAGAGAGAAGAGACAGTGCAATCTAGATCTCTGTACCCTGAATCCCCCTAGATGGTTCAGCCTTCCTTGTCGCTCTCCATGGGTTGGATCCTGCTCACAGAAGCCTCTCAGACTCTCTGGGTGGGTGGGAGAGGAAAAGAAAAGTTCAGCTGTCATCTTTGCCGCCCTTGTTCTGTGGTTGCTGTTTTCTTTTCCTTTGCTGCCTCCTTCCATCGCTGGCCCTCCACTGCAGACAGGCCGGGGGATCGCAGCCTCGGTGCAGAGCTGGCTCAGGCTGAGTGTCCCGAATGGAAACTGCAGGAGCAGTGGGGAGACATGCAGCTGAGCCCCACCTCTGCCAGTTCACAATCACTCACTGAGCCAGCCCAGCACGGTCCAAGCCCTAAACTCCCCGAGGCATTTTGATTAGATTAGCCAGTGAGAGCCAGGGTCTTCCAGGACTAGTTATGCCTGACTTTGCACAAAAGTCACTCCCTGCGAAGCCCTTGCCACTGCTCCTGGGGAGGGGAACCCAAAGTCCAGCTGACCCTTCCCCACCAGTGCAGGAGGACACTCTGGTGGTGATCAGGGCCTGGGAGGGACCCAAGGAATCTAATGCAGATGGTGGGAAAGCCTGACCTTCCAGAGCAGCAAGGTTACTTACTGGGTTGACAAAAAAGGCAAAAAGTGTTAGCATACAGTGTTGATAAGGATGCAGGGAATCTCTACATCCTTTGGGAAAGTAAACAAACATCTTCTCAAATGAAAAGCACACATACATACCTTTCTGCCCAGCAATCCAACTTTGATCAAGCCTATTGTATTGAAGAAATTAAAATACTAGTACATAACGTTGTTTGAACAGGAATATTTATGAACACAATACTTATACAGTACAAAAAACCTTGAAAAACTTAAATATTCATCAATAGAAGGAATTATGTCACCATTTAAAAGGAGATATTTAACTATTGCTCTTGAGGAATTTGGTTGCAGAGAAATACATATTACAATTTTGCAGAAATGAAACAAAGCGAAACCCAAAGCCAACCTCCATATATGTATGTGTGTATATGTGTGTAACAGCACGGGGAAAGGCATGGAAGAACACACGTCAACCTGCTACCATTTATTAGTGGAGGGAGGATGTTTTCTTCCCTCTCTGTACTCTTGAATTGCTTCATTGTTTACAATAACTTCATTACATTTTTCAATGTTGGGAGAGGAATTTAAGATAAATGGTGGGAGTGAGCGGGGGCAGGGAAGAGAAGTTGTCAAGGAAGATACAGGAGAAATCCCATGCTGGGAGAACCTGGCCACTCTAGTTGGGGGTTTGCAGAAAGCAAAAGCCAGGGGTCTGGCCTGGGCACTGAGGGGGATGGGGTGGAGTAGAGTCTGGGGGTGCACACATTGTTGAGCGACCTGGCTATTTGAACTCAAGGAGCTTATCTAGAACATCCTTTGAGAAGGCCAGAGAGGATGATGGATCACTGGGTAGTAGCCTGCAGTAAGAGGAATTTAAAACGCTTTACCATAAAGAATAACTGCTCCCAAAATATTAAAAGAATGAGGTTCTCAAGGTTATTTTGAAGAATTCGGTGAGATCCACCTGAGGAAATTAAATTAGTACTACCTAGCACGAGGTAACTGGCATGTTGTCCGAAAGAGCTTTACCTATACTGTCTCATTTGATACAAGGTACAATCCTATGAGGTAAGTATTATTATCGTTATTTTACAGAGGAGGAAACTGAGGTATAGCGGGGTTCAGTATCCCGCCCATGGTCATGCAGGTGGGAACAGGAGTGTTCCGGCTCCGAAGTCCTGGCTCTTGGAAGCCACACTAAAGGCTGCGTCCTTCCAGGGCGCAACTCTGGGCGCAAATGTTACACTCTCCTCCCCTCACCCGGTGGGGGTGGAGTGGGGAGAAAGGGCCTTCTCCGTGCGCCTGCCGGGATGGCCGGAGTTCGGTGGGGCCAAGCTGAGGTTCCTCTCCTGGGGCTGGGCAGGGTTTGGGCTAACTCTTCTCCCGCCGGCATTCGGGTTTGGGGGCCGAGGCTGCCCAAGAGTTAACCTCCAAAAGGGCCCTGCAGGGGGTGCTTTCTCTACACTGTTCTTCTCTTGGGTAGTGGAGGGGTTGGTGGGGGAACCACAAGCTACAAGATTACAAAGTTGCTAGACTCCTTAGCCTAGGGAGGTACGATGATTTGGGACCGGGTGTGGAGGTGTGGGCGGGGTGGGGGGTGCGGTGTCTTCCGGAGCCCTAAGCTGGCGTCCTCAGCCGCTCCTTTCCGTTCCTACCCCCCACCCCCAGCTCACCACTTCGTTTTCACGTCTGGGAGGGGAGCGGGGGGCGGTGATGGGGAGGAGACCAACGCTTTGATTTCCCCTGGTAGGTGTTCTGAGTGGCTAGGGATCCTTCCCTCGCGTGCCCCTGGGTCGGGGCGGTAGACAGCTCCAGAGGATGGACGGCCAGCGTGAAAGCTAGAGCTCGTGTATTGTAGGGAAAAGTGGGGGTGGCGGGGAGATAATGGTTGAATACCTTCCTGATATTTGAGGGAGAATTCGGCAAGGGGGAAATCTCTGGCTCCATCTTTGGCTGACTCATCGGATTTCCTGGGGTGGGCTCCGGGAGAAGGCTCGGGGCTGGCGCTCCTGCCTCGGTCCGTCCAGCACCAAGACGCCAGGTTCCCGGCGGCCCTGGCCCTCTGGGGGTACTGATTACAGTGGAAAGATCTCTGCGTCCGCAGAAGGAGAATTTGTGTCAAGGTTCTTGTGCGCCTTTTCTTCTCTGGGGGTTCTGAATGAAAATAAGTCCCAAGGTCATCTTTGTCCCTTAGCTCTTGCCCAGAGCTCTATCTGCGTCTCCAAGCTTCTCCATCATCTCCTTTTGTGTTTCAGGTGATCGCCCACCTTTCTTCCCTTCTAACCCTACTTCCGGATCTTTTTCCCCCTCGTTTCTCCCCGTGTCCCCCATTTTCCACGCTCGAGTCCTTTTTCTCGTGCCAGTTTCCTCCCTCCGTCCGATTTCCTTTCCCACGGGCCCTGGAGTTCCTCGGGCCCAGGCAGGGCTCTGGAACTGGCCTGACATGTTCATAATAAGGATTGTCAGACACGGTACTCAAGTGAACTACCTTGTCTTGAACTTACTAGGACAGAGGATGTGATAAAGGAGGTCCTTCTCTAATCCCAACAGCTCCTCAAAGGCTCGAAGCCAGCCTGAGTGGGCCACTTGAAGAGCCACGGGCTGTGGGAAGATACGGAGAGGCTACTCCGACGTGGGGAGGAGGTAGGTATGACGATGTCCTCTGTGCCTGAAGCCCACTCCGTCCCACTCCCAATACTCCCACCATCTCATCAGTGGGGCATGCTCGCCCTGGTTAATGTCATCTCCCTGAACTGCCAACGAGGCTAGCAGCTTTGCTGCTTAAAACCGGTAACATCAACCAACATATGGAGATGTCATCATGATTAAACGGCAAATTATAGCCGAAGACGGCGCGATAATAATCTAAACAATCACCACAAGAAGAAACGTTCTCTAACGCTCCAGTTGCGGAAGCCTGCGTTTCCAAGACTCGCGGCCCTGCGTTCCCAGGGATATCTCCGTGCTCACGTGAGCGTGGTCCTCGGCTTGGGACAGACAAGGGAGCCCCAGACAGGACGATAAGGTTTGGAGATTCCCAGGGCGATCTGGGACTCCGTGGCGTGGGGGCTTGGAAGCGCGTGGAGGGGCTGAGAGAGGGGAGAGGGCGCCCTTCCTCTAGGGCGGCCCCGTCTGGGAAGCAGTTGGAACAGCAGTAGGAGCCAGGGGTTCCTAGAGAAGAACCCTGTTAGGAGAGCAGACCAGCCCGCGCTCCCAGTCCCCGCCCCCTCGCCCCTTCTGCCCCGCCCTTAGCCTGCCTCTTCCTAGATCTTCCAGGACATTGATTTCCGAGTAGGAAGCCCGCGCTGCTAGGGGAGGGGCGTCCTCTGTGGGTCGTGGGGGGGTTTCCCTTCTCTCCACAGTCGGAGCAGAAGGGCGCCTGCCTTTTATTTTGACAAGCAATGGGCTTAGTTGTGAGCACTTGTTTGCCCCCAATATGTAGAGGAAAAGATACTGATAGGAGGCGGCGTGCTACGATGGCAAAAATGGAGAAGACCCTCCCTCTTTATCCTGGTTCTCCTCCTTGTTAAATAGATTCGTATTTAAGATAGGCACAGACATTCTAATTTGAATTCCAGGGGTTGAACTCCAGTTAGAATCATCCTATTTATACGCAGACCGAAAATAACCATTGAAACGAAACCAACAAAATGCAACTATTTTCCAAAACCCCGAGCGTTTGCTGGTGGGTGACCACCCCGCGCAGGTAGCGCGGATCTGCTTTGGTTTTGACTGAGAACCCGGGTTTTGACTGAGACCTCCGTCGGGAGGAGGGGACTGGGTGGGAGTTAGCGGGCGAAACGATTCCCCGGAGTGGCCCCGAGCGGCGCGTGCGTGAACGCGCGGCCGTAATATATGCTGCCATTAAGAATCCGTGCAGCTTCCAGCGCTCCGGGCGCAGGGACGCATGTGTTGCTGGAATTCAATCCGTGGGGGGAATGCAGATTGGGCTGCGACTCACTGGGTTTGATTTATGAACTGTTACACTAGCAATTGTTTACACATTGCATTTCAGAGCCCGGGCCCACCCTCCCCGCAGCGGGCGGCGGGCTTCGTGCGGGAACCTGCTGCAGCCCCCTTGGTCTCTCTCCATCCTCCTCCCTTCCCCCGTCCCCCCCCCCCGGGGCCCCCGCAGCTTCCTCCCACAGCCACCTTCTCCAAGAAATCAGATTTCGATTTCTCTGAACCCAGAGACCTGCATGCAGTTCTTTCTCCCCCGCCTACTCCAGGCCTGCAGTCCCCGGACCCGGGTCGCCTCTGCCCATTTACTCCGGAATGTTTACTTCTCTTTAAGGCCATGCGGGGCCTATAAATAGGAGAGGTGGAATCAGCCCCACTGCCAGATCAATAGGGCCCGTCTCCTCGCCATTTCAGCTGAGCTGTCTTATTAATTATGAAAGGATTCACCTGATCCCTGCCAGGGAACACAGCCTCTCGGCCCCTCTGCTGGAGCCCTTAATGGCGGTTCCTTCGCAAGCTGCCTCTGGCCACCGCACAGGAAGAGGCGAATCGTGGTTAGGCCGAGCCTGCGAGGATCGTGGTTAGGGCTCCGGCCCGCCTGAGGCGGGGGCAGACGGCCGGCCACTGGCATTGTCTGCCTGTGCGAGCAAGCCCAGTTCCTCTAAATCTCAAACAGAAAGAATCTCTGCTTTGTAATTAATTTAAAAACAACTTTCATTTTCTCTTTTTTAAGGAAGCACGGTTTCGGGGAAGTGGCCAAGTGGCTTAAGTGAGGAGGGTCTGCTTGAAGGTGGCAGGTCTGCTTGAAGCGGCTTCCTGAAGAGGTGAGCTTATCACCGGCATCCTGTGTCCCTTCAGGTTCCCTGAGAACTGGGTCAAGAAAGCAGGTTGGGGTAGGAAACAAACGACACCCCCATTTCAAACAATAACTTTTATTTTATACTTCTCTATACTTTGTAGCAAATCTTTTTTTGCTGAATTTAATTTATAATAAACTTTTTAAATTACATCTCTCTCTCTTTTTTTTTTAAAATCAAGGCTCTTTTATGTCAAAATCTTTTTTTAGCTATATTTTAGATTAACATTTAACATCCCCCCCTTGTGATCTATACCGTTGGATATTCAGGTATTACTGTGTGTGTAACAGCTAAAACAAGAGGGAGGAGGGAAAATAAAGGCAGTGAACTTGGACGGATGCATCAACAACAGCAGATAAAGCTAACCCCTCAGTGACCATAGCAGCATGTCTTCTGGAAGCCTTTACTCTTACCCCAGAGATTTCCTCAGCCCCTTCCCTCTCTCCCTCCTATCCTCCAAACACAAAGCCAACAGTCTGTCCTTTCGCTTTTCTTGAGGAGAAATGTGCAGTGGAAATGATCAAAACAAGATACTGTGGAAGAACGACGTGAGCGTGAATTATTCACCGTATGTTTCGTCCGTGGACATCTCTCTTGAATTCATTCCCCTGGCCTTCTCCTCTCCTCGCCTTCCTATTAGGAGGAGCCCATCATTTTTCATGTTACTAGCATGATTAATATAGTAGGTGGCCCAGGGCCGTTCCTGAGATTCTTTTGCCAACAAAAAAAATTAATAATAATAAAATTAAAAAATGGGGTGGGTTTGCCGTTTTCTTATTTGTGTGTGAAGACGGACTAAAGCTGAGGTCCGATTTTGGCTGTGCTTGCTTGCTCACTGATTGGTAACATTTGGCAAATAAAACACAAGAAATCAAACGAAATAAAAAAGAGAATCAGGATTTCCCACAATCCTATATGAGTGTTTTCAGCATCACAGAGAATCACAACGTCCCCAAAGAACTAATGGATCTTCCTCTCGATTTCCGGGAGCATGGAGTGAGTGTGGGTGGGCGCGCGGGGGGAGCTGGCCCCACGCTCAGAAGGAAAGCCAGGTCGCTAAAGCTGCCGAGAGAGACACCAGGAGCACCGGGAACGCCGGGAGCAGGGACCCCGCCGCCCCGTTGCCGCTGCCGCAGAGTTCGAATAAGCTGCCTTGGATGTTGAGGTTTTTGGATTCTTTTCTCAGTTTATCCCACATATCTTTCGCCCCTTCCTGGCAATCCGTAAGGGCTGTGACCGTGCAGCTGTGGAAATCCTCCCAGTATCTGGTGAGGAACAGAACAAAACAGAACAAGCAGGTTCACTTGGGACGCCGGGAACACCCCGGGCTTGCGCCCCTGCGCCTCCCCGCTGGCGGCCCCGCCAACTTCCCGGGGTGTCCCCTCCCTACCTTCTCTTCACCGCCCTGGCGCCTGGCCTGCGCGAGGTCGGGACTCGCGGGACCTCCGCCTACCCCAGAAGCGGCTGTCTAAAGCGGGGGTGGGGGGGCGCCCCCTCCTGTCTGGTTTTCCCTTCCAGTTGCCGGGAGAGGACTAGGCAGCCGGGAGCCGGGCCGTGCACCCGCTGTGGCGCGCTGGCACCTCGGCCTCCGCAAACAGATTGCTCGCCCTCCTCGGGGAAAGCTAGGAAAACAGTGCTAAGCCTCGCAAGCTGCCGCCCATTAATGCCTCTTAGCTTGCAAGATGGGTTACTAGCTCTGAGCACGGCCCTCCCCTCGGGGCTTCTTACATTCTCCTCCCCCTCGCCCCTTCTGTCTCCCTCCTTCTCCACGCCGCGGTACTCTCGCCTTCGCCCTCATTCTCTCCCTCCACCTACTACCTCTTCCTTTTGTTTTCCGTTCTCCTGAATTTCCCTTTCTTTCTTTTTCCGTTCCGTCTGCTTTCCTCTCTTCTGTTCCCCACTTCCTCTTCCTCCTTCCCACAACCTGCCTGGATCCTCCTTGCTCTCCACAGTTCCCGGCTCAGATTCGGCCTGGAGACTCCTGCCTGCCTCTCTTCTCCCCGGGGTCGGTGAGTGTTAGTGGCCGAGCACCTGGGGCCGGCCTCGTAGCCTTCATCTGCTCTTGCGAATCCAAGTGTCCCAGGCCTGCGCGTTGGGTCCCTCCTGTTTCTCCCTCCCCAGTCTTTTCCGTGGGCTTGGGCCCCATGGGGCTTCCTCCCCACAGCTTTCAGGATGTAGCGCCAGCCTCCAAGGCCGGAACTGCGGGGAAGGCGTGGTGCCCACCTCTGCCAACCTTCGAGGACTCCCCACCCTCTGTCCTCCTCTTGCGGTCAGTTCACGGAGCCTGGCGCCTAACTCAACCACTTCCTCCTCCCAGGCTCAGCTCCTAGACCCACCCCCACAACCTTCATCCAACCTGTCCCTTTTGACTGTCCCCCTTTCTTCTGAAAACCCAAAATAGATCCTGAGACTAAATATAATCCCAACCCGTGATCGATTCCTGGGGCGCTGTCTCCTTTCAGAGCTGGGTCGGTCTGCGCCTCTCTGTAACTCCGGGCTGGTCCCCACCTGCCCCGGGCCTTGAGCACCAGGTCACAGGCACCTGCCTTCTACATGGTTTGGTTGTATTTTCTCCTCTCTCTTCCTTCTGCTGGCTGGCCTGGACTGTAAGCACATTGAAGGCAGGCACTGTGTTAATTTATGAGTACTGGAGGGACACAGAGCTTCCAGGTTCCTCAACTTGTAATAAACAGCAACATTTGGACATTAGGAGGCCCAGGGAGGACAGCTTTCCTGCAGACTGTCTGTGGAATTGCCCCTGCTAAAGGATGCCTAAATTGCTCTTTTTTTTTTTTTTTTTTTTTTTTTTATGTACGCCCAGATGAGGGCAGAGTTCTGAGGGACCTGGTAGAGAAGGATAGACTCCACCTGGGGCTGGGCAGAAGTGGGCTTCAGCTCCGTGTTGAGCAAACAGCTCCCCCAAATGAGTAGGGCCTGGACCTAGCCGTGGCCTGTGACCTCAGGAAGGAGTTCTCACTTTCCTGTTTTCCAAGACTGAAGTTCTGCTTAAAATTAAAATAGCTTGGAATAAACAAGTTCCACCAAATGACAGAGGATTTGGGAGCTGCTCTATATGCAACCTTTTGTTATCCTTATAGATATACATTCTTATCCATCACGAGACTTTTAGAATTAAATGACTTTGTCCCTTTCATGATAGGAAAGCACTAGCCATTTAGCTGCTATGGCTCCTAGTAGGCACTGGGGCGTTTAGGAAATAGAGTAGCAAAATTGACACCATTTAATTTAGCAAAACCTAAACAAACACCCGTCCTTCCACCAGTCCCCTTTGCCCCAGTTGGGGAGTGAGGAAAGACTTCACAGTATACAAATGATGCCACAGAAAATGGTCACTCTAACCTCAGGGAATAAGGGGCACAACCTGCCTTGGCTGTTTTGAAACAGTTATTTTGGGGGTGGGGGAACACAGCTGTTTTTTGCAAAATAAAAGAATGGGTGTTGCAGAGGACAGGGGTGTTTTCTAAGGTCTGCAGCAGCTAGATTGCTGCAGGTCCACTGCAGTAGGGCTCTGCTGGTTACCTTATTGCTCGTGGGAGCAGTGCTTTCTAGCCAAGCTCTGAGAAATCACCACTGGACCTGGCTATGAACTACTACCCATCTCTCTTTACCTTTGAAGCTGTCCAGGTCTGGGGACGCCTTACAGATGTGCGAGGGGGCAAGGGAAACAAGGAGAGTGCCTATTCCAAATCTCGGAATCTGCTGTAAACTCAAAGCGACTATCACTGGACCACCACCTGGACTCACTCTTTTTGGGTAAAGTCACTGGCACACAATAAGATAGCGTTTCGGCCTGTCTCCTAGAAAACAGGAAGGGAGACCTGTATCTCCTTGCCTGTGCCGGCATTTCCTTGGTGTGTATTAGAGGGGCGTTTTGTCACGAGAAATGGACAGAAGAGAGGAGTGACTTTCCCTTTAGGCAAATGTAGTATTACCCCAAACACTCCTCAAATCCAAACTAACTGTTCTTCAGAGAACACCTGGCAGGTCACTCGTTCACGCAAGAGCAAAGAATGATCAAGATTGCTACAAGGCAGAGAGATCTTGCAGCACCAAGATTTTGTAGCAATCCTTCATGCCCCTTGCCCTGGCTCCCAGCATGTCGAGCATGCGCACCTCTGTGCAAGCCTGAGAGGCCGCGTAGAGCTGGGACTGGGTCTATATTGAAGGATCCTCCTCCATATCCCACCCCGGGCTGTGGGATCCCCTTGGGAAGCGCAGGTTCTAACCCGGGGGCCTGGTCCTAGGCCTGGGGGTTGGAGCCAGAAGGCAAGAGTGAGCCGATGCGGATTCGCGCTGGCGCTGAACGCTGAGCGCAGGCGGGGAGGCTCGGCACTCTCCGACCTCAGTAGCGCCCCCAAAACCGAAGTCCAGCCGGCCAGAGAGGACACTTACGTGCACACGGTCTTGATGTTCGTCTTGTCGTCCAGGCCCTGCGGGTAGTTGGCCATGCTGTCGCCCAGCTTGAGCAAACAGTCCGAAAAGCCCTTGAAGACCGCATCGCACTTGCCCGCTGCTCTCACGGCCTGCACCAGATACGCTGCGGGGAGGAGGGAACACCGGTCAGCAGCGCCACGACCCCGCCCTGCCGCCCACTGCCCTTTCCTGCGAGACCCTGGCTCCGCGCGGCCTCATCGCATCGGGCGGCCTCTCCCAGCGCCCAGCCTCGGGGCTCGCCAGTGTTAAAGGTGAATGAAAGACGTGACCCAGGAATGCCCGACCTGCAGCTAACGCTGCGTCTAGTGCAAATTGTCGGTGTGTGAGCAGGTGTGGGTGGGTGGGAGGTAGGTGAGTCCATTCCTTTCCTCCAGCTCCCTCCCGCATCTCGCTCCGTATCTTTTTCTGTTTCCATCGCCCCCTCTTCTCACCTCCCTCATCCCTTTTATTTCTCTTTCTCCTCGCTCCCTCCTTCGTCTCCCAACACTTCCCCAGCAAGCCCTGTCACAGCTCTCGCAATGCGATCTTCCATTTTGAGGTGACAGAAGGGGTCTCGGCTGCAGCGTGCGGGGGCGAGAACGGGGTGGGGAGACGACAGGGCGTGGGGTCACGCAGCTGAACCCAACGCCACATCACGAGAATAAGCCTCAGGCTTGGCGCTCTGTCCTTGGTGGGCGCTCAGCAAACACTGCTGAATGAATGAACGAATATAGTCCCTGGAAGCCACCAGCAGTTACCGAAATGGATTGTTTCATTATAAAACCGATTGCCTACCGTGGACTCTGTATTCCGAGTGAGACCCTCGGATGCACCCTCTCCCGCCCCGCTGGAAAGAGGGCAGCCTGGACGTCCTGAGACCTGGCGCGGATGATGAGTGGTCTGGAGAGGAGAAGGCCAGAGGCCGGGCGGGGTCACGGATGAGTCTGCCTGGGTCACCTCCGCAAAGGCCAAATCCACGAACCTCGGGCCTCTTTCTCTCCTCCTCCCCTGTCCGCCACTCGGCTCCCCAGACACCCTTAACAACCCACCCGCCCGCCAAAAAGCCCGCCTACACTCCGGACGGCAGCGGGGAGAGGCTGTTCTTCTCCAGGTGCCAGCCCTGCTGCTGAAAGTGAGCTCGCCGCGGCCCGGGGCTCCTGGCCCCAGCTCAGGACTCCCTGCAGAGAGCAGGCAGGGATAAAAGCTGAGCGGCGGGAGGAGGAGGAGGAGGAGGAAACACAGGCCGCACGAAGGTCCAAGCCCCAAGCCCCCAAGCCCCCGGCCTCTGGACGGCCAAACCCCGAGGCGCGGGACTGGAAGGACAGGTACCAGGCTGCGGGCGCGCGGCTGTGGCCATCTCTTTCCGCCCTGAGGCCGACGAACCCGGCTGGAAGCTGAGTGCCTAGCGGCCCAAAGCAGCCCGGGCGCCGGGAGGGCGCCAGAGAAGCACAGCGTTAGGGCGGGGAAGAAAGGGTGAATCTCAGAATCGAAATCCGCACTGGCGCCCACGACCCTGGGCGCCGGCCTGGTCCTCGGCAGCTTTCTGGCGGCTGCGCTTGTGTGTGAATGTGTCCCGGGAGGACCGGACACCTCAATCCCCCGGCCCCCAACGCGGGCGCCTGTCCGCGAGCGCCGGGCCAGACGCCGAAGAGGAAGGTGACCGAACCCGTAGCAGCTTCCGAGAGCGTACCCGTTTGCAAATTGCTGCAGGAAGAGCGAGGCGGGCCTTGCGCTTTTTAATCCGGAACGGGAAGCACTGGGGAAGGGACCGAGGTTAACTTCGACCTCCGCTGGGGCAGATACGTAAACCTTCTCAAACCTCCGAGTTCACCTTACAGCGAACATTAAATACCCTTGCGACTACAATACTAACAAATCGAACACTGACGTAAAATCTTAAGAATAAACGAATCTTTGTTCTGATAGAGCTCGTTCAAAATGGAAATACACTCCACACATCTTCCTCTATAACGCATGTCACAAATACAGCTTTGCAGAGAAGAAACGAAATAAAATAAAGTCCAATCTCCCCGTCCACGTCTCTCCCCACCCCTTGCCTACACCCCCAAAACTCAGTGGCGAAAGAAGCCCCTAAAATGCATTGACATTTTTTAAGGGGAATTGGGGCTCGCCGGGGGCGGGAGCGCTCTTGTCACGTTATCTTCCCAGGCGCTGCTGGAGAAGACCCTGCACACCGCGCATGTGTGAGTGTGTGCTGTGTAAAATAAGTCGTGAACATTTCTGTCTTTTAAAACTGTGACTCCTTGGACTCTAGCCTTCTCTGGGAGGCCGGGAGGCTGCGCGCGGGACGGATTTTGCAGGCGCACGCGTCCCAGCAGGTCGCAGCCCGTGGGTCCCTCGCTGTCCTTCCTGAACCCCGCTTAGGCGAGACTCTAGCGGGTGACCCTGGCTCCTTCCCTGTCCTCTCTGCCGTCCCCTTCTTGTGCGGTTTCCATCCGTTCATTCATTCGTTCGACCTCTCATTCATTCCGAACTTCCTCCTGCTGCGTCTTCTTTCGTGTTCACCACACTCTTCTACCTCCCCGCCCCTCCCAACCCCCACTTTTCTTGCCAAATGTCAATGATTTGGGACAGCTCCCAGCCGTGAATTAATAAAGACCGAGGTTCTGTTGCAGGAAAGGGCAGACATTAGGGAACAAATACGTTCAATTTCAATTCCACAGTCAACAAATAGTCATTTTTGGACCGAGGTTAATGTGTTCAAAACGCGTCCCTCAGGCACGACCACCGTCTTTTTTTTCCCTCCAAACCTCTCAAAGTAAGGTTATTTCCTACCGGGAAAACAGAGTCCCAAATCTTGTCCGATTAAAATTTCTATCTCAAAAACAACTCTCTCTCCTGCTCTCTAAAAATTCAAAGGTTTATTGCAAAATGCCACATTCACTTATTTCCAACATTTAAGGAATTTGCTGCCATTAGAAATATTATTTACAGCAGCTCTTTTCACTAATGTCAAAGATTCAAAACAACCAGATTTAAAGCATTGTCATTTTTTGGAACTAAAGGAAAACACCAATATCCTGCACTCACACACTCTAAAATCTTTATAATGTTTCTGCATTATAAAATCTCAAAATCATGTCAGTTGCATAAAACCCCACTGCAAAGAATCCATTTTAAGGTCTAGAGAACTCCAAACCTTGTTTCCTTCACATTTCTTATGGAAAAAACATATTATGCATTCTCCTTTCTTGCCCCAAACCAATTACCTAAAGCACCCCCTCCCCCAATACTGCAAGGATTTGTCTGCAAAGAATGCCACAGCCTGAACTGATAGGAGGTAACAATTCCGTTTCAGGAGTTTCTTTTTTCCCCCGTGTTGTCCATTCTATTAATAACCTGCTTCACTTTCACTTTTAGGCCACGTTAATTAATGTTCTGACCCAGTGTCGGAGAAGGGGGTTTTCTAGTGCCCTCTTCTATATCTTTTCTTCATTCTGGATGGTAAAAATGTGAACTTTAAAAAGACCCCTGACAGCGTAACTACAACTCAACATTCCTTAACATAAAATGGGGACTAAATAATTCCTTCCATAACCAATCCCAAACAAACAAAAATAACAAACACCCGACATGACATATTCCAAACACTTCTTAACCCTTTCCTATATATAAAATGCAGACACCAATGTGTAAAGTAGCAGGCAAATGCATCTAGAAAAGTATATCTACGTAAATTTGGCTGAATTCATCCTCTTCAATGGTAAGCATGTTAAAATATGTGGTCTGAAGTTCCCTATCACTCTCGATTTGCCCACCAGCCGGGTCTGCGGTGCCCGTGCAAACGCTGCAGCTAGGATATAGGGGGGAGGAGGGGCGGGAGAATGACAAAGTTCTAAATGCAGCAGTCTGAGCCCTGGAATATCTTTGCTTTCAGCACATAAACTTTCCAGTCCTGGCTGCCTAGCCATTTTATTCCTGCATTCACATTTCGACTCTTCAAAATCATATCTTGCAGTATCGCAGGGGCCAGTACATTGCCCCAGAGCGCACCAAACCTGGTATAAACCCAGAAAGGGAAACAAAAATGGATGTGTGCTCAGGAAAAAGGGGGAAAAAAACCGTGTCCAGAAAATGTCCGGCCGCACACATTTCCTGGCGAACATTTGGAATCTATAGCTTTAGGAAAAACCGATCTGGGACGCGCTAGTCCCCAGGAACTGATGCCCCCACCCTCGGGGGATTGCCGGCTTCTCCGCACCCTGGGGCGGCCGCGGACCCGCTAGTCCCCCTCCGCGCCTCGGGCCGGGGCAGGCTGCCTCCCGCCTCCAGCCTCCAGCCGGGCTGAGCGGCCACTTACCTATTTGCACCGCGAGGATCAGTGAAATATATCTGCCGTTCAACTTAAGTCCCATCCTACGTTTAGTCAAACCATTTGCGACCGCAGACCTTTAAATAGTTAGTTTAGAGAACGCGGGGGAAAGCCAAAAAATAGGCATTGCCAACAAGTTCCGGGAGCGACAGAGACTTTATGCACTGGGAAGGCAGAGGGAGGAGAGAAAGAGAGGGAGCGAGGAAGAGACAGAAAGAGAGAGAGAGAGAGAAAGAGAGAGAGAGAGAGAGGCTGAGGGGGGGGGGAGAGCTGGGAATGGTTCACTCCATTAGAAGGGGGCGGAGGAAGTACAGCCTCACGCCCACGAGCAGGCCTGACGTGGGGGATGACACGGAATGATTTTTTTTTTAATATAGACACCTTGGTAGAGAATCGCCATTTATAGTCATCAGAAGCTGGAATTAATCAGATATCTCCAATTAATGTGCGATCTGAACGAAATTTTGCCTCCCGGGGGTGAGCACTTTCCTATTCTAGCGGTCACCCCTGCCTCTTCCTCGTTCCGGGGGCCCCCCAGCCCCGCCGCCTCCCTGCGCAGAACAGGGGCTCCCCCTCCCTTCCCCGCCAGGAGCTGGGGAGTCCTGGCGCGCCCACTCGATTGTTTCAACCTGCTCCCCCTCCTCCATCAGCACCACAGAGAATCCAGCCCGCTCTCTACGATGCAGGGGGGTTTAAAGGAGCGGGAGAGGGAAAAACAGCTAAGCTAGCTCGATTAATTCGAAAGCGCTCCTCGGCCGCCCGCCCCCTGCGCTTGCCTACCCTCTTTTTCTCCAACCCAGCAGCTGAGCTCTGGGCGCAGCCTGGAGCGCGTGAGCACGCAGCCCGGCCCCCCGCACGAGCACACACACACACACACACACACACACACACAAACGCGCGCGCGCACGCCCGCCAGCCGCGCCGAGCGCCCCCATGCCCGCCCGCACACAAGGCACGCGAGCGCGCGCACACGCCCAGGCCCCGGGGGTTTGGTTTGCACACGTGGGGCCCCAGAAATAAACACCGAATGTCCTCTGAATTTTACCCACCTGCGATGCCCCAGCGGGCCAAAGGCCGCTTCAAGGGACACAGCGACACCTGTTTTAGGGGGCGAGTAGGGCACCGGGGAAGGAGCCTCTGATAAGACAGTTTTCGGATACTAGTGATTTACCAACCAACTCTCAGCGCTTTAGGAAATTTCCAAGGCAAGCGCTGGTGTGCGGACTTCTTTCTAATCTTGATGCGCCTCTTGGGCTTATTTGTTGGGCTACACACACACGTACCCACACGCACACACGTACATCACGTACGCACACGCACACCCGGACCCACACACACCTGCACTGTCTTTTGATGCTCAGGCACAGACCCTGTGTAGGTGTAGCCTACCCTGCAACAAAATACTTCTGCAGCTGGCTTTGTGCTAGGTGCAAGCTGCTATCGACGACAGCTTGAGTCAAAACCGAAAAACTAACAGGGCTATTTCCTTTCTAAACGCCTTTAAGCTCTGGTTTTCTTCCTTTCTTCTGCACCAAACAGAAAAAAAAAAAGTCTAAATTGTAGCGTCTTTAATAAAATGCTAAAGAAGGCATTGGCCAGCTTTAATCCTTAAGCCTGTGGAGAGAAAAAAATGAAAACGACCCCCCAAATTTTGCCAAACTACACTAGAGGACGTCAAGCTGTCAAACTGTAGAAATGCACACGGATTAAGGAGAAGCGTTGAATTTGCTTCTACAGGCAGCTTGCCCTCTAGGGCCAATCTTGCCGTCCCCATACTCAGATATTTGGAGATGCATAGACAAAGGGGGAGAAAGGTGCAAAATAACGGGGGTAGGACAGGCTGTGGAGGGTAGGGGGCCGAGGGGAAGCTGCGGGGGTCCTACTGCAGCACTTGGTGACGTGAGGTGTCTGCAATGTGCGGCCCCTAACTCACGTCCCGCGGGAGCCTCAGACTCCCATGCAGCCTTCCTGGCCCTGGGGGCGGAGTCATGTCTCCCCGCCCCTGGTTATGTCACCGGCCTGCGGGCGGGGCGGTTGGGGGCTCGCCTTCCGGTGTCCAGGGGCACGGTGGCGGCCCCGGGTGTTTCCTTTCCCCGAGCTCGGAGGCTCCGGGAAGAACCGAAAACGTGGGCGGACAAGGGGTGGGGCGGGGGCTGGTGGCGAGAGGGGGGCGTTTCTCGGACCCTCCCCCGACGTCTTCCAATGGCAGGGCGGGAGGCTTTCCGAGGGGCGGGGCCTCAGGGGGGTTGCCACGCGGCCCGGCCCACGGCTCCGCCCCTCGCTCGGGGTTCCGCGTGGGGCCGGCCCAGCTTTCCCGGACCAGGCCACCAGCTGCGGGCCCCCAACCTCGCTCAGACTCGTGCAGAGCCCAGGCTTGGGAGTGGCTTAAGGTTTTTTGCCCTCAACGTCCTTGCCTTCCTCCTGCTTATCCACCTGGGATCTTCACAGCATCATTTTCTGGGATCCTCTCCAACCCCTCCCCTGTAACTCTGAGCGTGGGGCGCTGGGGATGTGGAGTAGGCAGGGCTGAGGGCCTCAATGAAGCGGGTGAACCCACGCGCGTGCGCACAGCCGCCCGCGCCGCGCCCCGGGCCGATCCGGTTCTTGCCCTTGGGACGTGGCTGCGCCTCACCGCCCTACCCCGGGAGGGAACCCCCGCTGACTTTTTCCTCTCTTCATTTTCCTCCCCAGGCGTCCCAACCTCCCTCATAGGCCTGAGTCTTTTTAAAAGTGAAGAAGAGAGAGGCAAACAGAGTTGGTACTCTACATAAATGATTTTCTGGGTAGATAGATGCACATGACATTTTATTTTTTGAAAAATTCTCATCTTTTAAATTACAGGTCGTTCTGCAGTCCAGGCTCCATGCAGGGTTGATTCTTCGTAGTTCTTTAATTAAAGGATATTGCATTTCATGGTTGTCAATGCATGCTGTCTGGGAACGGTAGCATCCATGGTTGGAGGTGGCTTTGGAGAACGTTCCCTCTTTTATTAATGTGAAAAGCTCATCTCACATCATACTTGGGGTTGAAGATGCAGTGGGAAGAGCAGTGAACAGGGGCAGGGAAACCCAGCTCACAGGCTGACCCCCACACTTTGGAAAATGAAGGAGAGTGGACTATGAAGTAATTTCCAAAGCTGTTTTCACCTTTGAAATTTTGTGAACTGAGGATTTTCTAGAATTCTGTGAATGGGATTAGGAGTGGAAACGCACAATCCGAAGAATAAAATCCGTGCAAGAGTGCTTTTTATAAGCCAACTTCTTGCAAAGAACGTATTTCTTTTTGATAAGCAATTTTGTTTAAAGAAACAAATACAGTTCAGGAGAGGGAAAAAGTCACAGGTGCTGTTTGGGTCTGCATGTTGAATTGAGCCAAAGTAACTCCCAAAAGTAAGTCTGCATAATTAAGGTAATAAATATGCAAAATTCCTTATCCCTAGAACGGCCAGAAAGAGACTATGTCTAATTTTAAGCCTGGTGGGCACCAACTTCCTTTCTCGTTTCATGGCGCTACAGCCCTAGTCTGGATGAGCAGTATGCCAGTTGATTCCCCAGCTCCTGCTATGAATCCATCATAGGTCGGCTTTCCAGAAGCTGCCACCTCGACAAACAACCCTTTGAAATTATTTGCAAGAGCAGTTGTCAAGGCCACTAGGAAATCCCATCTTTGTATTCTAGGTCAGAAAAAATCGCTGCTCTATTAGAATAGATTGGTCTAGCAATACATCTCTCTCATAAATTTAGTCAGTCATTTAAATATCTTCAGCTAAAACCTTTAATAAAAATGTGAATTTATATTACATAACTTTTCATTAAAATGATAACTATACTGTATTTAAACAATCATATAGATTACGAGAGGAAGGAGATTTTTGTGGAGGTATATACATTGGTAGAGGCCCCAGTAAAAATCTACTTCGGGAGGCCTGGGTCTACCCTTGCATCTGTGGCTTGGTAAGGTGATTTTTTTCACTCTCTGATCTTGAGACTCTTTACAAAATTAGTTGAAACTTCAAGGCCTTGCTGGCCGGGCGCGGTGGCTCACACCTGTAATCCCAGCACTTTGGGAGGCCGAGGCAGGAGGATCACCTGAGGTAAGGAGTTCAAGACCAGACTGGTCAACATCTCTACAAAAAATACAAAAATTAGCCGGGCATGGTGGTAGGCGCCTGTAATCCCAGCTACTTGGGAGGCTGAGACGGGAGAATCACTTGAACCCTGGAGGCAGAGGTTGCAGTGAGCTGAGGTCATGCCATTGCACTCCAGCCTGAGGAACACAGCAATACTCTGTCTCAAAAAAAAAAAAAAAAAAAAAAATTTAAAAATTGAACTTGATTTGAATGCAGTAATTTGAAATCTAGGAGCAAATGCTAAATTTGAAATGTAGAAGTGTGATTAACTTCCATCTTAAAAATAAACACTTTATTTAAAACAAATCAACGTTTTTATCATGAAATATACACACGGAACAATGCACAAAACAAGCATGCACAATTCATTGACTTATGACAAAGGGAATGCCTATGTGGTCCCCACTCACACTGAAACAACTGGAAGAGGCATGACAACTAAATGCAACCTGTATTCCTGGATAAGATTCTAGACAAGAAAAGACAGAGATGTTGTTGGAACAGCCAGTAAAATTTCAGTGAAGTCTGTGAATTAGGCATTAGTTTTGCACCAATGTTGATTTCCTGATTGGGGAATTGTATGCTGATTATAGAAAAAATTGTCCTTGTTTGGAGCAACATATACTAAAGTTTTTAGAGTGACAAGACATCATACCTGTAGCTTGCTCTCAAAAGGTTCGGAAAAAGGAATATTGCTAATGGGGATAAATACAAAGCAACGGAATACATGTAGCAAAATGTTACTAACTGATGACGATCTAGCTAAAGGGGTATGCAGGTTCTTTGCATTGTTCCAGCATTTTTTCTTTAGGTTGAAAGTCATTTCAAAATAAATCATTTGAAAAAAAAATCAACTCCAGGTGGGTTAAGGACCTAAATATTCAAAGTAAAGCTTTGAAATATGAAGTGAAGCACTCAGGTGAATATTTTTAAACCTTTTAAAAAGCATGAATTGAAAAAGATTAATAAATTTAATCAGAATTAATGAAAAACTTTTGTCTGTAAAGTAATATGTTAGAGTAAATGAAAGAGCAAATTACAAACTCACAAAAATTAGTCTCAAGAGCTTAAGAACTTCCCAAACCAATTTTGTTTTAAAGAACACACACACACACACACACACACACACACACACACACACACCCTAAATAAGTTTCACAGAAGAAAAAACAGCAATATGGTCCAAACTGGTTTAACATTCAAAATTTACAGTGTGTCACAGTCTTTGATGTCCTGGATGGTTTCAGGGATTGCAGGGCTTACATTCTAGGATGACCTTACCATGGGCCATCTGATTTTTCCTCATGCCCATCCTCAGACCCTGAAAATTAGGGTGGGCTTACCTCAGAGACTAAGCTGTGTTCTTTTCAATGCATCTCATTGGGATGAATTATGTCACCACGTTGACCCGTTCCACCACAGGTGATGTTAACTTGGTTTGGTGTCTGCCAGGTTTCTCTTGCTTAAATTCACAGTTTCCCCCTTTTGTAACTGTATGTGGAAGTAATTTGTATTTGGAAGTGTTCTGGGATTATGCAGATATCCTAGCCCTCATCAACTCCCCCACCCTACAGCCTTGGTGTCTATTCACCACTCCTGTGTGAATCAACCACATCTGTAGTGGTTTCCAAATGGTGGTTCCTCACTTCTTTTAAATGTATTATTTGGCATTTGACTGTAAGGAAGAGCTTTACTTGTTCATTTATTTATTTCTTTGTTTGTATCAGTATAAACTCACAGATTTCTATTTTATTTAATGTACCGTGGTCTATTCTTATTATTTTGATGCTTATATTTTTCCCTATGTAGCCAGTAGGAGCCCTGCCAGCTGATTTCCGTGTTCTTTTGGTGTATCTTGATTCTTCATTGAGAATTCTTACTTTTTGATGCAAAAAGATATTCTAGGCTCATTTTATCCTGACCTAGCCCTGAGTCATTTCTCCAAAAGTTTCATAAACAAGGTTTAGGTCCTGGTAGTGCTCATTGCTACCAGTGTGTCATTGCTCTGGGCCCTCTCAGAAGATAGAGGTAGGAATACAAACATGTATATATACACACATGTTCCTACCCCCTCCACACACTTCTCTATTTCTATACTTGGAAAATGTATTATAAAACTGAATTTATGTGGATACTTTTGTCTATTGGTCAAAGCCACTACCCAATGACCACACGTTATAACACCCCCATCACCTCAAGGATTCTCATAGTTTTCTCTCTAGTTTCGTCAGGGTTGACCTTGGGGTTGGGACCAGCAGCTCACTTGTCCAGGACTGTAATATTCTGATTATCGTTTTGATATTAATTTATAGCTAAACTGAAATGTAGTTAGAAACTATATGTTGCATGGTTTCAACCATTTTTTGGGAAAATTTTTTGGTGTATTTTAAAATAATATGTTTTCTATAATTTTTGGTTTTAGCATTTTTTGAACATTATTAGGTCAAGTTTGCTGATTATGTTTTCAAATATTCCATATCTCTACTGACTTTTTATGTATTCACTTTTTCAGTTACTGAGAGCTTTGTTGAAAATATAATGATTTTGGATTTGTCTATTTTTCTTTCAGTTTGGTTAACTTTTGTTTTATATTAGATGCCTACAAATTTAGAATTTTATAACTTCCTCTTGAATCTAACCTTCTATTATCATTAAATTTCTATCTTTATGACTGCTTTTTGCCTTAAAGTCTACTTTTGTTTCTAATATCAATACAACTATCCAAGTTTTTTTGAGGGGGGAGCAGAGTGTTTGTGTGATATATCTTTCTCCATATTTTTACTTACAAACCATCTGTATTCTTTTATTTTAGATATTTCTTGCAAACAGCACATCCTTCAAAAAAAATTCAGTCAGGGCCAAATGCAGTGGGTCATGCCTGTAATCCTAGCACTTCGGGATGTCAGGCAGGAGGATCACTTGAGGTCAAGAGTTCGAGACCAGCCTGGCCAACATGGCAAAACCCCATCTCTACTAAAAATACAAAAATTAGCTGGATGTGGTGGCACATGCCTGTAATCTCAGCTACTCAGGAGGCTGAGACACGAGAATCTCTTGAAGCCAGAAGGTGGAGGTTACAGTGAGCCAAGATTGTGCTACTGCACTCCAACCTAGGTGACAGAGTGAGACTCTGTCTTAAAAACAAACAAACAAACAAAAACCGTCAGACAATCTTTGCCTTTGAATTGTAACACTTAGTGCATTTATATCTAACTACCAATATATTTGGGTTTGAATCTACCATCTCATCATGTGCTTTCTATTTGTCTCGTCTGTTCTATGTTTCTTTTTATCTTTTCCATTGCTTGTTTTTGGATTGATTATCTTTTATTATTCCATCTCCTCCCTCTAGTTACATACCCTTTTACTAGGGTTGAGGTACCCTATAAATTACAGCATATGTTTTAAATTTATCAGAGTCTAGTATGTATTATCCTGTTGTTGGAAAATGCAATAATTTTTTAAACTATAACTTCATTTGCTGTCTGTTCAGGTTTATATACTATCATTTTTTGTGTGTTTTACTTCTTTGTACATTTAAGACCTAACGGGGTGTTGTTATTATTGTTTTATACATTTAGTATTTATTCGTATTTATCTACATATTTATCGACATATTTACCATTTTTTTTGTTCATTCCTTCTTGCATCGCAAAGCTTCCATCCGGGTCCCTTTTTATCTAGTGAAGGCTTTCAAGTAACAGGTTGTTTGTACAAATGTGGCTTTGTTTTACTGTTATCCTTGAATTATATTTTCCTCAAATATCCTTCATGGTACTTGATTCTAGGTTGTCAGTTTCTTTCAGCACTTAAAAAGTATCTCATTGTCTGTTGGTTTCTGTTTTTTTTTTTTTTTTCTGTCGAGAAGTCAGTTATCATTTCTAATTGTTATTCTTTTGAAGACAATTAATCTTTATTCTTTTGCTACATTTACATTTTTCATTTTTGGTTTTCAGCTATTTTATCATGATGTACTTGATGTGGAACACTTTTTAATTAAGTTTTTTTTTTTTATTTTAGAAATGAGGTCTTACTCTGTCACCCAGGCTGCAGTGCACTGGATCATAGCTCACTGCATCCTCGAACTCCTGAACTCAAGCAATCCTCCTGCTTCAGACTACCAAGTAGCTGGGATTACAGGTGGAGCCACTGCATCTGGCTGGTGTGAATTTTTTAAAATAATTTATCTGTTTGGGGTCCTTAAGACATTTTGAATCACTGGTTTAATGCCACTATCTCTTCAATTATTGCTTCTTTTCCAATTACACACATATTAGACCTTCTCATTTTTTTGAGCTCTAATTTTATTTTATTTTTCCCCAGCTTTATTGAGGAATGATTGATGAAAACTGTATGTATTTATTGTGTATGATGCAATGTTTTGATGTAGGTACACATTATAAAATTATTTACCCCAATCAAGCTAATTAACATATTCATCACTTCACATGGTTACCTTTTTTGTGGTGAGAGCATTTAAGATCTACTCTTAGCAAATGCCAAGAAGACAATATAATATTATTAACTATACTCACCATGCTGTACATTAGGCCTCCAGAACTTACTCATCTTGCATAACTGAAATTTTGTACATTTTGACCAACATGGTCACCCCATTCCCTTCCACAGAAGCCCCTGCCAAACACCATTCTACTGTCTGCTTCTATGAGTTCGACCTCATAGAGGTCACATATAAATGAGAACATGATGTATTTGACTCATTTCACTTAGCGCAATGTCCTCCTGGTTCAACCATGTTGTCACAAATGGCAGGATTCTCTTCCCTTTTAAGGCAGTATAATATTCCATTATATATGCACACACACACACACACACACACACAGACAGACACACAGGCACACCACATTTTCTTTACCAATTCATCTCTTGGTAGACACTTAGATAGGTTCCATATCTTGGCTATTGTGATTGATGCTGCAATAAACTTGAGAGTATTTTGAGAGGCTTATTTTATTTCCTTTGGATATATACCCAGAAGTGAAATTGCTGGATCATATGTTACTTCTATTTTTATTTTTTGAGCAACCTCCATACTGCTTTCCATAACAGCTGTACAAATTTACATGTCCACTAACAGTGTACAAGGGTTCCCTTTTCTTCAAATATTTGCCAACACTTGTTATATTTTGTCTTTTTGATAGTAGCCATTCTAACCAAATAAGGTGTAAGGCAATATCTCATTGTGGCTTTGATTTGCATTTCTCTAATGATTAGTGATGTTAAGCATTTTTTCATACACCTGTTGGCCATTTTGGATGTCATCTTTTGAGAAATGTCTATTCAGTTCCTTTGCCTATGTTTAAATTGAGTTGTTTGTTTTCTTGATCTTGAGTTCTTTGAGTTTGTTACATATTTTGGATATTAACCCCTTACCAGATGTATGGTTTGCAAATATTGTCTCCCATTCTGTAGGTTGTTCATATACTTTATGTTTCCGTTGTTGTGCAGAAGCTTTTTAGTTTGATGCAATCCTATTTGTCTCTTTTTGCTTTTGTTCCCTGGGCTTTTGGAGTCATATCCAAAAAATTATTGCCCAGAACAATGTCAAGGATGATTTTTCTTATGTTTTCTTCTAGTAGATTTACTGTTTCAGGTCTCATGTTTAAGTCTTTAATCCCTTTTGAGTTGATTCTTGTAGATAGTGTGAGATAAGGGTCCAATTTCTTTCTTCTGCATGTGGATATACAATTTCCTTACTACAATTTATTTAAGTTATTTATTTATTTAATCCCATTGTGTGCTCTTGGCAACTTTGTTGAAGATCAACTGACAGTAAATGATTTGATTTATTTCTGGACTATCTACTCTGTTCCACTGGTTTATGTTTCTATTTTTATGCCAGTTCCATACTGTTTTGATTACTATGGTTTTGTAGTATATTTTGCAATCAGGTAGTGTGGTGCCTCTAGCTTTGTTTTTCTTGCTCAAGATTGCTTTGTCTATTCTGGGTCTTTTGTGGTTCCTTTTCACTGTGTCTTGTGTCTTCTATATGTCTTACCCTCTGTTTCATATTTCCCATCCTTTTGTTTTACCATGTCTCATTCTGAATATGTTCTTTTGTCATTTGTCTAACTTTCATAAATTTTCTCTTTATTTATGTCTATACCATTGTTAAACCGTTTCTTTTATGTTCCGGAAGACAATTGTAGAAGAATTTCTAAATTCCTCTGTGTATTTTTTAAAAAAATAACCTGTTTATTTTTGAACAGTTTTATTTTAGATTTACAGAAAAATCATGAAGATGATACAGAATTCCCATGCATCCCACACTTAGTTTCCCCTGTTGTTACTATATTATATTAATATGGTATATTCTTATAATCAGTAAATCTCGTACTTATTCAGATTTCCTGTGTTTTCACTTGTGTTATTTTCCTGCTCCAGAATTCTTCCAAGATACCACATTATATTTACTTGTCTCTTGAGGATCCTTTTGGCTGTGGCTGTTTCTCAGACTCTGTGTTTGATGACCTTGGAGTTTTGAGGAGTACTAGTCAGCTATTTTGTATTAAGTCCTTCAATGGACATTTGTCATACATTTTTATCATAACTAGACTGTGATTATGTGTTTTTGGAAAGAAGACTGTGGAGGTTAAGTGCCATTCTCATCACATATCAAGAGAATGCTATCATTATGACTGCTATGAACTGAATGTCCCTTCCAAAATTCATATATTGAAGCCCAACCCCTAATGTGATAGTATTTGGAGATAATTCCTTTGGAAGATAACTAGAGGGTGAGGTCTTTATGATGGGATTAGTACCCTTATAAGGTCCCAGATAAGAAGAGACACCAGAGAGCTTGCTGTCTCTCCCTGTGCACACAAAAAGAAGAGGTCACGTGAGCCTACTATGAGACAGCAGCTGCACCTCAAAACCAAACCTATCTTGCTGCTACCTTAATCTTGGACTTTGCATCTGGAGGATTGTGAGAAATAAATTTTTGTTGTTTAAGCTACCCATTCTATGGTATTTTGTTATTGCAGCCTGAATTGACTAAGAAATGGCTTATCACTGTTCATGTTAAACTTGATCACCTGCCCCAGGTAGTGTTTGCTAGGTTTCTCCACTGTAAAGTTACTCTTTCTGGCCCCTCTCCATCCTGTATTCTTTGGAAGGAAGTCACTGTGCACAGCCCTCACTTATGGAGTAGGTGAGTTAAGCTCCATATCCTTGAGAATAACTACATAATTTTTGGGGAAATTCTTCTGCATAGGATATTTGTCTCTTATCCCTCATTTATTTATTCATTCAATCATTTATTTATATCAGTGTGGACTCACTGGTATTTACTTTTATGATTTGAGTTATAATCCAATACTACTTTATTTATTTTATTGCTCAAATTGTTCCAGCTTTGACCAATGGGAGCTCTTTCAGTTGGCTGTCATATTCCTTTAACATACCCCATAATTATGAACCTTTTTCTTTTATTGTGGCACTTCTTTGTTTTCTGGCATGACAGAATTCTCTATATTCATCATATATATTTTCTACCCCAGGCCTAAAATCAGCTATTTTTCTAAGGAGCTCTCTTTCGTTTTATCGGAAAATGGTATTAGAAAACAGAATCTGGGCACTAAATGTGCTTGTTGCTGCTGAGGTATTGTTGCTTCTAGGCACTCTCAGCTGACTAAGCAAGGAAATACGTTAAATATATATGTGTATATACACATTTCCATCAGTAGCTTGCTATGTAACCGTCTATATCTGTATTAAGTTAAACAAGAGTTCATATGGATGTCTCCAACTCTAACCCATCACACACATTCTAGTCTCCTCCCCTTGCCTCACTGCTGTGTAACCTCCCACTCCAATAGTGGGAAATCTGGCTCCTGCCACCTGCCAGCCATTTACTTAATTGTTCAGTTACAGTACATGTGTATAGTGATTTCAGAATCATTAACCTGTTCCACTATGGGAAACAACTTTTTGGCTGAGTAAAGTGCTTCCGTGCAGTTCCTCTTGCCTTTAGTCTTATAGACTCCACTTAGTTCAAAGTCACTTCGGTCAGCACCTTTTCCCCTCACCCCCTTCAGTGAGGTTGTTTCGTACACTTGTAAGATAATTAGACTCTTTTGTCATATTCTGCATTCTGTCTTGGGATTCTTTGACCTCCTAAATGATTTTTAAAAATTTGCATACATTAAGGTTCATTCTTGGTGCTATAAAGTTCTATGTGTTTTGACAGATGCAAATTGGAATTGACTGACTTTGTACAGCTTCAGAATCCTTGAGAAAGGAAAACAACCTCAGCATAGCCGACTCTGCTCTCTAGGCACACTTGGAAAGCCTGGAAGCCCCCATGAAGCATTTAAAGCAGTTCTGCCCCCATGGAAATAGAATACGAACCATATATGTAATTTTACATTTTCTAGTAGCCATAAAGTGAAAAGTAAAAAAGATACAGGTGAGATTAATTCCAATAATGTATTTGATTTAACCCAATATATCAAAACTATTATTTCGATATGTAATAAATATAAAGACTTATTAATAAGTCCTGTTACCTTTTTGGTACTAAGTTTTCAAGACCAGTATGTATTTTACACTTCCGGCATATGGCAGTTTGGAATAGCCACATTTCAAGACTTCATTAGACACATGGTGGCTAGTGGCTACCATACTGGATAGTTTAAGACTTAAAAATACCCTTCTATTCAGGAGTTTTCTTTCAGATTGTGCTAAAAATGAGGCCCATAATTTAATTTTAAGGAACCACAGCTAGCAGAATGAATGCATAGACTTGATCAGTCTCTTATGTCCAAGTTAGGTTAGTAGTAGCCTAAGAGTAGTACCCTAACATCTGAGATAAAGACATTTGGGTGGATGAGCCCAATAATATTTACCATAAGATTACCCTGAACTCCCCAGGCCAGCAGAAGGATATCCCTTGCCCATGCCAGATGAGAACAGTGTTCCTTAAAAAACCTTGAAACCCTGCAAAACTCTCACCCAATGCAAGTGTACTACACGATGATGCTTATTCTCAACCTTTAGATGACTGTGGCTCAGCATTTCCCATCATCTCATTGCAGGTTGCTGAGCCCCTACCTTGCAGGCAGCCCTCTCATTTGTAGAGATGAGAGCCTGAAGGTTCCCACATTCACCTTTTCTAGTTATTTTACCTGCTGAATGACCTAATTATCAGTTTTCAGGAAATTTATTAAATTTGGAAACTCTTCTTTCTTTGCTTCAATGGAAGATGGTTTGACTTGATCATTTTATTTTACACCTAGAAGGTTTAAAAGTGGCATTTACAAAGTGGCTATTTGTCATTAGAGACTGAAAGCTTCACCTGCCCATCAAGACCCCATGGCCACACAAAGGAAAGAGCAACCAATTCTCCTGACAGAGCCTGTTTGGTGTCATCTTTCCTGCTCTTAAGGTTTTCTGTGAATTTTTAAAAAATAGGTTCAACTGATTCATCCTTTTGAATTATATCCTTTTATATATTATATGTGTGTGTGCGTGTGTGTGTGTGTGTGTGTGTGTGTGTATTTCCCAACTATAATTCTGAAAAATGCCATTTTAGACCCTATGCTGCTGAAACACTGAGATAACCCTTATTCTGAGATTAGCCTGGCCACAAATGCCAACAATTATTTTGTGAAGCTGGAAAGAAAGCTTGGCTTGCATTGAGGCAGCCACCACAAGGGCGTTCTGGCTCTAGCCCTGTCCCTGGTGTGAGGCTGGGTTGAGTAAAATCTTTACAAAAACTTTTTGGATAAATTTCCTTTCTTTCCAGAGGCTCCTGGTAATAAACTTTTGGAAGTTAATCTGTCTAGCCCTGAAAATGACAGGAAATTCAACCACACCGATCACAATCAATGAATTCCTGATCATTATGAATCATTCATTAACACAAAATGGAAATGATCACACTGTGGGTCACAGCTTGGAGTCAGACAGCCCAATGTGGGATTGAGTTTTGGCTTCCTCCCTAAATTTATTGGCTATGAAACATGGTCCAATTATATACTGTCTCTAGGCATTAGGTTCCTTACCTCTAAAGAGGGCATAAAGATATTACCGAATGGGGGTTGTTGAGAAAGTGTGATGTTGTATTGAAAGAGCTGATGGTAGGTGGCATGTATTGTACATGGAACTGAGAAGACAGTAAGCCTTCTCTCTACCCTCAGCCTTCAATTTTTAGACCACCGTGGTCTCCTCACTCAGGCGAACATTGTTGCAACACTTTTGGTCTCTCAGCTGCTCAATTCCCTGCTGGTTCCTCGGAGCTTGGTATTTTCAAGTCACTTCTCCCAAGCGGGTCAGGTCACTATGCAACTGGTGAGTTCTTAGGCTGGGTGATGGTCTTCTTTGTGTTTCCAGGCGCCTCCTGAGGTTGGCCTATATTGGACCTGTGGAAAACTTGCTGTGTACATGAACTTGGAACCCACTCTGCAATCTGCTCATCTCTCTCTGTCTTTCTCTAGAGACAGGTGGTTGCAGTATGTTAACCCCAAGATGTATTTGGAGTGTGAAGAGGGAGACACACTTAGACTTCAGGCTTAAGCCACCCCTCTTCCTAATCCAGGTTTTATTAGCAGTTTACTATGAGGTGCTGAGTATTTGTCTGGATTGATGAAGCTCTTCTTTGTCTCCTATTCAGTGTATTGTGCACGTGTGTCCTCTGCTTTTCAAAACCTTGGGCAAAGGGAGAGGTGACCAGCACCCCACACCCCTGATACACACAGTCACTATTCAATGTCACATAGTCACACATTGTTCAAAGCATTTGATGTGTATGTGTGTGTGTGAAACATGTAACCCTGGGTGAACCCGGACTTCAAAGTGTTTTGGGGGAGTGCTGAATAAGAAACTTGAATGAGCTTGAAGCAGTCAAATCAGGACTGGGCAGTTGTTGAGGCACTATTTCAAAATGAATAACGCAGACTTTGAGAAACAGATTGCTATGAGACTATGGTGTGATTATCTTGCTGGGGTTAGAGGGTATTATGGGTTGAATTGTGTCTCTTCAAAAAGATATGCTGAAGTCCTAAGCCCCAGTACCTCAGAATGTGACCTTATTAGGAAATTGAGTCTTTACAAAGGAGGTCATCTTAAAGTGAGGTTATTAGGTGGGTCCTGATCCAATATGACTGGTGCTTCTAAGAAGGGGAAGTTTGGACACAGAGACAGGCATGCACAGAGGGAAGATGGATTGAAGACACCCATGTGAACAATGGAGTTGGGATTGGAGTGATGTGTTCTACACCAAGAAATGCCAAAGACTTCTGACAAGCCTCTAGAATCTAGCACAGGGGCCGGGAATAGATTCTCCCCCCACAACCCTCAGAAGGAACCAACCCTGCCAACACCTTGACCTTGAACTTCTAGCATCCAGCATTGTGAGATAATGCATTTCTATTTTTAAAGTCACCCAGTTTGTGGCACTTTATTATAGCAGCTGAAGCACACACATACAGATGACACCATGGAGGGCTGGGGTGGGGCTTCCTTAAAAGGAGTGAAATTTTTAGGAGGTATTCGTCTTAGAGCAGAAAGTGGGTGGGCCTTAGGCTGAGCTAAAAGAAGGCCTTTCTGCCTTCTCTGTGGCCAGAGGTCCACTGGGCTGAGACTTCGAGGCTGGGGGAAGCCTGAAGTACCCCCACTGGTGATAGAGCCCCGTAAGCTTTTCTGACCATGGGAAGGCAGGCTGTGGCCAGGCAGGGCTTTGAACAGCTGTGGATGGGGGCAGCAGTTGTATGTTGTTTGCTGTGTTGTATTTCCTTTCTATTCTTCATGAACCTTCAGGAAAGTCTCACTACCAGTTTACAGCCCTGCATCAGCTGTGTTGAGAAGAATGAGGTTCCACTTTTGGGGTAAGTAGACAAGAGGTCAACAGAAGGAAACAGAAGAGACACAAGGACAGGGCTGTGCTGGGGCCACCCCAGGCATAGCCAGCCCCAGGTGGCATTTGAACGGAAAAGTCCAAGGGGCACATTCCTGGCCCATTGGAGGTGGACAATTGGGAAGTGCTCAGGAATATCTGGAGAACTTGAGAGTAGTGAAGTGGGTAATTCACAGGAATTTCCTTCCTTCCTTCCGTCCTTCCTTCCTTCCTTCTTTCTTTCTCTTTCTTCCGTCTTTCTTTTTCTTTCTTTCTTTCCTTTCTTTCTCTTTCTTTATTCTTTCTTTCTCTTTCTTCTTTCTTTCTTTCTTTTCTTTTTCTTTCTTTCTCTCTCTCTCCCTTCCTTTCTTTCTCTCTCTTTCTTCTTTCTCTTTCTTTCTTTCTTTCTTTCTTTCTTTTTCTTTCTTTCTTTCTTTCTTTCTTTCTCTCTCTTTCTTCCTTTTCCCCTTCCTTCCTTCCTTCCTTCCTTCCTTCCTTCCTTCCTTCCTTCCTTCCTTCCTTCCTCCCTTCTTGACAGGGTCTCACTCTGTCACTCAGGCTGCAGTGCAGTGGTGCAATCGCAGCTCACAAGTGACTCTCCTGCCTCAGCCTCCAGAGTAGCTGGGATTATGGGTGGGTGCTAGCATTCCTGGCTACTTAAATTTTTTTTTTTTTTTTTTTTTTTTTTTTTTTTTTAGAGATGATGTCTTGTTATGTCGCTCAGGCTGGTCTTGAACTTCTGGGCTCAAGTGATCCTCTCACTGTGGTCTCTCAAAGCTCTGGGATTACAAGCATGAGCCACCAAGCCCAGCCCAATCTTGTGACTTTTTAAAAAAATCTTTATTGTTTTGAGACAGGGTCTTACTCTGTCACCCAGGATTGAGTACAGTGGTGTGATCTTGACTCATTGCAATCTCTGCCTCCGGGGCTCAAGCGATCCTCCTGCCTCAGCTTCCTGAGTAGCTGGGACCACGGGCATGCACCACCACACCCTGCTAATTTTTCTATTTTTTGTAGAGATAGGGTTTCACCATGCTTTCCAGGCTGGTCTCGAACTACTGGGCTCAAGCGATCCTTCTGCCTCATCTTCCCAAAGTGCTGGGGTTACAGACATGAGCAACTGTGCCTGGCCACAGTCTTACTACTTTTAAAGTGTATATGACTTGAGACTTTTCCTACTCCATTAAATAAGGGGATGAGGTTTCTCAGATGACGTCACAGGACTCTTTGAGGCATAAAATTCTATTATTCTAATAAAGCAGAAATGCCATTGAGCAGCGAATAGTTGTCACAGAGTCATGTGCTTACTTCTGCAGGTGAGGGGAAGCCACCTCTGGACCCTCAGGCTTAGCAGCTGGAGCCAATACAGTGTTGCTGTTCAGCAGCAGGAGTGACTGACAGCTGTAGGAAGTGAGAGCTGGTTGCATATGGAGAAGGCACAATTTTCTCATTTGAAAAACCAGTGGGGGCTGGTGGTGGTGGGTAGCTAACTGATTTCCGGGGTCTCTCTAGCACTACAGTTCCATGATTCTGAGAGTGCAGAAGGAGTAGTAAGTATCAGGCCAGCAATCTGGGACTATTTAGTTTTGCCCACACATCTCAAAAACCAAAAGGAGTGTGAAGTATTAAAGCACAATTCATGGAATGAAAACGGCTGTTACTGAGCAGGACTGGTGCTGTCCAGGCATACAGAGGTGAACAAAATGAGCATGGTTTGTGACCTCGTGCTTCTTATGGTCTGGTAGGAGAGAAGTATTTGACACAGGTAAACAAACCAGTGAGTAATACAAACTGTAACAGGCGCTCATGCCTTCTCAAAGTATGAGAAAGAAGTACTAACGGGAGGAACCTACTTTAGATTGGGTGGTTGTATCAGTTTCATAAGGCTTGCCATAACAAAGCACCGCTAACTGGGTGGCTCAAACAACAAAGATTTATTCTCTCACTGTTCTGGAGGCTGAAAGTCTAAGATCAAGGTGTCAGTAGGGTCCTTTCCTTCTGAGGGCTGTGAGGAGCAATCTGTCCCAGGTCTCTTTCTGGCTTCTGGTAACTCTTGGCAGTCTTTGATGTTCCTTGGCCTGTAGCGGCATCACCCTCATCTTTGCCTTCATGTTCGCATGGTATTCCTCCTGTGTGTGTGTCTGTCTGTGTCTGTCTGTGTGTCCACATTTCCACTTTTTTGTCACGTTGGAATAGGTCCCACCTTAATGGCCTCATCTGCAAAGACCCTATTTCCAAATAATATCACATTCACAGGTACCGGGGTTAGAACTTCGACATATCATTTTGATGGACACAATTTACTCCAAATCTCAAATACTCAAACATCCATCCACTGCCACAGAAGCTCACAAAAGGAATATGCAGAGGAGTCACCAAGGAAAACCACTCTGCTTATCATAATTAGGCAGATGAGCAAACCCTATCCCCCCAGAGGAACCAGGTAGATACAGAGGTGAACTATGGGGATCATAGATGTTTTCTCCAAGGAGAGATGATATTTACATTGAAACCTGAAGGAAAAAGGGGAAAAATGGGCAGAGAGCCAAGAGAAGGTCATTCCAGGAAAAGATAAAACCTGTAACAAACAGGGAGTTGTGGTGGGAAGGAGCTTGCACATGTGAGAGTCTGAAAGAGCCCAGCCAGTGAGGAGGACAGCAAAGGGGACACAGGGACAAGACCAGGTGGCACAGAAGCAGGGCCTCTTGCACCTCACCTTAGGAGTTTCAAGTTTATTCTAGGAGTGATGGGAAGCCATGGAAGAGTTTCAAAGGAGGCCAGTGTCACACGAGGGTAGACACAGGTCTGCATCGATGAATAGCTCTGGGGAGCATGGACTGGGTGGGTCACAGGGCATCCGTGCAGGAAGCTGTAGAGGTGGCAGGCGCATATTCCTTTTGTGAGCTTTTGTGGTAGTGGATGGGTCTTTGAGCATTTGAGATTTGGAATAAATGTCTTTCTCTCATCTAAGGATGGTGGTAACTGTGAAAATGGAAAGAAGTTGATGGATTTCTGAGACATTAGGAGGCTGGACCCACAGGACTGATTGGGATTGATATCAATATTTCTAACACAAAATTTGGTCCAGGTGCACCAAATGGAAGTTTTGGGGCTTGTGCGTGGCTTCACTCAGTTGATGAGTTTCATTCACAAGAATTCGTGTTTATATAAGAGCCTGAGTCCGATGCCTTTCACTAGGTGTTGATAAAAGACAGCCCGCAGTTCACCTTTGAGCTGAGACAGCTTTTGTTTATTCCGCATACTATTTAAATAACAGGGACTTGTTACATAAAGATGTGTACTCCTAGCTGCTCTTGTAAAGTCAGAAAAGCTGGCAGCAAGGGGACCTGCAATCTTGCTTGGCCCCAGTGAGCTGGAGGTGAGCAGCAGCTTCCCCCTTTAGACAATGTGCTCTCCAGTACCTCACAAGTGGAACTCTCCCTCTTTCTCTACACACAAGCATTTCCCTTATTTATCTTATTGTATCTACCTGATTCCTCTGGGGGGATTGGGTTTGCTCATTTGCCTAATTATGATAAGCAGAGTGGTTTTCCTTGGTGACTCCTCCGCATATTCTTTTTGTGAGCTTGTGTGGCAGGGGATGGGTGTTTGAGGATTTGAGATTTGGAATGGATGTCTTTCTCTCCAGAGACTTTATAAACTTGAATGAGAAGGGGTATGATAAATCCCAAAGGTGGACTGTGTGATTTCCATGAAAGGGTTCAAGTTTTGAATGCAATTGGTCTCTTATTTCCCTTTAGTCCTCCCCAGAACTACCTGTAGTAAGTGTTGGCAGCCTTTCCGATAACCGAGGAAAGTATTATATACATATTATATTCTGTTTAAGAAAGGAGAAAAATGTATATTTTGGGGGGATCCTCACAAACATGATGAAATTCTAAAACATAAAGCTTGTATTCAACTCTAGTGTTTAGGGAATTTTAATCTTTGTAGGAAACTAGGCATTTCCTAGTATTGTTGAAAAAAATGAGAAATACTAGGAAAGCAAGTATTTCCTTGTATTGTTGGAAAGGTGGAGCATTTCAGTAATTGTAAGTGCATAAGTAAATTGATTTGGATATATTCCCCATAAACTGATCTCTAAATTATGAAACCACAAGGAACTGTAAATTGCAGAAAACTTTAGCTATGGGAACAAATGTCTTAGCAAAGGCTACCCAAAGTCTAATGTTTATTTCTTTAGATAAGTAACTTAGCTAAAGTGAAATTCTTACATAGTCTTTTAGAAGCATACTGGCTGGCATGTATAAATGAGGCTTTATTCACAGGCAAGCAGCTAAAAGGAAATTCTTGTTTCTGTTCGTGGAGAAGTAACTACCATTGCTAGGATGATCACAGGAAGGAAATGGCTATTTCCACTTACATACCCTCTAAACAACAATTAAATATTAATTAGCAGAAAAGTAAAAGGACAGATGACTGCTTTGACTCCCAGATCTTTATTGAGCTTTAACTCCCTGCACCCTTTGGCCTAATTGTTTGGCGTTAAACCACAAAACATGATAAAATGTACCAAAAGCCTGTGGCCGATAGTTACTAGTTATAATCTGCCTTGAACTGAGCCTAACCTTAAGGTGCCATTTGTAATCCTCTTCAGTGGTGGTAACAATGACATTTTGATGGAAAAGTAGTAGTTTCATTAATGTGTATATTTCATTTTCCTTTAAAGCGAACTCCTCAATAATATTGGTGTTGGGAAGTAGGATCTGTCTTATTGAGTGCCTTAGGAAACTCAAGGAATAAAATGGAGAGAAGGTGAGGGTGATATGATTTGACCAGTAGTTTACTCAAATTTCTGCCATTCTATGAAATACAGTGAATTGTTGCCAATGCCCTTTCAGCCTGACCACACGGAAACATCTTTTCTTCCTTCCTTCCTTCCTTCTTTTAATATAATGCCAAAGTTATGTCATATTAAATAAATATATGCAGAGGTAAATAAACAAATATCAGCTATCAGGAAAACTGGTTGCATCCCAGAAATACGTCTTAAGCAATAGGTCGTAAACAATGTTATAACAAAGCTGACCAATCAACAGAGGTTCCATCTCAGATTCGGCAGAACCAGAGAACATTCTTGGCCTCAGTGGCAAGTTTCATGCGCGTCCATGTGAAGAGACCACCAAACAGACTTTGTGTGAGCAATAAAGCTTTTAATCACCTGGGTGCAGGTGGGCTGAGTCCGAAAAGAGTCAGCGAAGGGAGATGGGGTGGGGCCGTTTTATAGGATTTGGGAAGGTAATGGAAAATTACAGTCAAAGGGGGTTGTTCTCTGGTGGGCAGGGGTGGGGGTCACAAGGTGCTCAGTGGGGGAGCTTCTGAGCCAGGAGAAGGAAATTCACAGGGTTAATCACTCAGTTAAGGTGGGGCAGGAACAAATCACAATGGTGGAATGTCATCAGTTAAGGTGGGGCAGGTCCTTTTCACTTCTTTTGTGATTCTTCAGTTACTTCAGGCCATCTGGGCGTATACGTGCAAGTCACAGGGGATGCGATGGCTTGGCTTGGGCTCAGAGGCCTGACATTCCTGCCTTCTTATATTAATAAGAAAAATAAAACAAAATAGTGTTGAAGTGTTGGGGCGGCGAAAATTTTTGGGGGGTGGTATGGAGAGAGAATGGGCGATGTTTCTCAGGGCTGCTTCAAGCGGGATTAGGGGCGGTGTGGGAACCTAGAGTGGGAGAGATTAAGCTGAAGGAAGATCTTGTGGTAAGGGGTGATATTGTGGGGATGTTAGAAGAAACATTTGTCATATAGAATGATTGGTGATGGCCTGGATACGGTTTTGGATGAATTGAGAAACTAAATGGAATAACAGAAGGAGAAAAACAGGTATAAAAGGTCTAAGAATTGGGAGGACCTAGGACATCTGATTAGAGAGTGCCTAAGGAGATTCAGCGTAGTCCTGCCAGCAAAGATTATTTATTTACTTCAAGAGTTTAGAGTGGCAGTTTGGGGATAGCACCAGGAGATATCAGCTGTGATGGCTTGGAGAAACAGTGTAAACCAGCAGTGTAAACAAGAGCAGGGCATGTATGAGTAGTTGAGAACGGTGAATAGGAGTATGACTAGACAAAAGATAGTAGGGACGACAAGTTTTTTGGGGGCACAGTCTAAGTTGGTCTGGTGTCGAATGAGACTGGGGCCTAATAAAAAAGAGTGTCTACACAGGAGTTTAAATGGGCTGTACCTTGCAACATTCTGAGGACAGGCCTGAATTCTGAGAAGCAAAGGGGTAATTGTCCAGTCCTTTTTAAGTTGGTGGCTGAGCTTGGTGAGGTGTGTTTTTAAAAGACCTTTAGTCCGTTCTACTTTTCTTGAAGACGGAGGACCGTAAGGGATATAAAAGTTTCACTGAATACTAAGAGCCTGAAAAACTGCTTGGCTGATTTGACTAATAAATGCTGGTCTGTTGTCAGACTGTATAGAGGTGGGAAGGCTAAACTGAGGAATTATGTCTGACAGAGGGGAAGAAATGACTGTGGTGGCCTTCTCAGACCCTGTAGGAAGGGCCTTTACTTATTCAGTGAAAGTGTCTATTTAGACTAAGAGGTATTTTAGTTTCCTGACTCGGGACATGTTGAGTAAAGCTAATTTGCCAGTCCTGGGTGGGGGCAAATCCTCGAGCTTGATGTGTAGGGAAGGGAGGGGGCCTGAATAATCCCTGAGGAGTAGTAGAATAGCAGATGGAACACTGAGAAGTTATTTCCTTGAGGATAGATTTCCACGATGGAAAGGAAATGAGAGGTTCTGAGAGGCGGGCTAGTGGCTTGTAGTATAGCATAGCCTGCCTTTGCTGGTGTGTGGCAATTAGGCCTGGTGGAACTGCCATCAATAAATCAAGCGTGATCAGGGTGAGGAACAGGAAAGAAGGAAATATGGGGAAATGGGGTGAATATCAGGTGGATCAGAGAGATACAGTCATGGGGGTCAGGTGTGGTATCAGGAATAATGTGGGAGGCCAGATTGAAGTCCAGGCCAGGAACAATGGTAATTGTGGGACTTAAAGAGTGAGGACAGCTGAAGGAGCCGGGGAGCAGAATGTATATGCGTCAGGTATGAGGAAGAAAATAGATTTTGGAAGTTATGAGAACTGTAGAGAGTGAGTTGAGCATAGTTTGTGATTTTGAGGGCCTCTAACAGTATTAAAGCAGCGACAGCCGCTGCACGCAGACATGAGGGCTAGGCTAAAACAGTAAGGTCAAGTTGTTTGGACAGAAAGGCTACACGGTGTGGTCCTGGCTCTTGTGTAAGAATTCTGACTGCGCTAACCATGCCTAGGAAGGAAAGGAGTTGTTTTCTAGAAGGTGCCGGGGTTTGAGAGATCAGTCGGACACGATTGGCAGGGAGAGCACGTGTGTTTTTATGAGAATTATGCTGAGATAAGTAACAGATGAGGAAGAAATTTGGGCTTGATTGAAGTAATGGGGGCTGTCTGTGAAGCTTTGCGGCAGTACAGTCTAGGTAATTTGCTGAGCATGATGGGTGTCAGGGTCAGTCCAAGTGAAAGCGAAGAGAGGCTGGGATTAAGGGTGCAAAGGAATAGTAAAGAAAGCACGTTTGAGATCTAGAACAGAATAATGGATTGTGGAGGGAGGTATTGAGGATAGGAGAGTATATGGGTTTGGCACCATGGGGTAGATAGGCAAAACAATTTGGTTGATAAGGCATAGATCCTGAACTAACTTGTAAGGCTTGTCTGGTTTTAGGACAGGTAAAATGGGGGAATTGTAAGGAGAGTTTATAGGCTTTAAAAGGCCATGCTGCGGCAGGCAAGTGATAACAGGCTTTAATCCTTTCAAAGCATGCTGTGGGATGGGATATTGGCATTGAGCGGGGTAAGGGTGATTAGGTTTTAATGAGATGGTAAGGGGTGTATGATTGGTCGCCAAGGAGGGAGTAGAGGTATCTTATACTTATGGGTTAAGGTGGGGGGATACAAGAGGAGGACGCAAAGGAGGCTTTGGATTGGGAAGAAGGGCGGCAATGAGATGCAGCTGTAATCCAGGAATAGTCAGGGAAGCAGATAATTTGGTTAAAATATCTCGGCCTAATAAGGGAACTGGGCAGGTGGAGATAACTAAAAAAGAGTGCATAAAAGAGTGTTGTCTAAGTTGGCACCAGAGTTGGGGAGTTTTAAGAGGTTTAGAAGCCTGGCTGTCAATACCCATAACAGTTATGGAGGCAAGGGAAACAGGCTCTTGAAAAGAAGGTAATGTGGAGTGGGTAGCCTCCATATTGATTAAGAAGAGGACGGACTTACTTTCCACTGTGAGAGTTACCTAAAGCTCGGCGTCCGTGATAGTCTACGGGGCTTCCAAGGCAATCAGGCAGCGTCAGTCTTCAGCTGCTAAGCCAAGAAGGAGTCAGTCAGAGAGCCTTGGGCCAGAGTTCCAGGGGTTCTGGGAGCGGCTGCCAGGTGAGTTGAACAGTCCGATTTCCAGTGGGGTCCCGCACAGATGGGACACAGCTTAGGAGGAATCCTGGGCTGTGGGCATTCCTTGGCCTGGTGGTCAGATTTCCGGCACTTGTAGTAAGCTCCTGGGGGAGGAGGTTCCCCAGGAACGCCTGGCCGCTGCAGTTCACGCGTTTGGAAGTTCTTGTGTGCTGGAGATGTGGCTGGGGTTTGTGTCACAGTGGAGGCAAGGAATTGCAACTTTTTTCTATTATTGTACACCTTGAAGGCGAGGTTAATTAAATCCTGTTGTGGGGTTTGAGGGCCGGAATTTAATTTTTGGAGTTTTATTTAATGTCGGGAGCAGATTGGGTAATACAATGTAGATTGAGAATAAGACGCCCTTTTGAACTTTTAGGGTCTAGGGCTGTAAAGCGTCTCAGGGTTGCTGCCAAACAAGTCATGAACTGGGCTGGGTTTTTACATTTGATGAAAAAGAGCCTAAACGCTTCTGATTTGGGATAAAGAAAAAGGAGCGTTAACCCTGACTATGCCTTTGGCTCCAGCCACCTTTTTAAGAATAAATTGCTGGGCAGGTGTGGGAGGGCTAGTCACAGAATGAAACTGTAAGCCCGACCAGGTGTGAGGAGGGGAGGCGATAAAAAGATTATAGGGTGGAGGAGCGGAGGCTGAGGGAGAATTGGGACCTAGCTCAGCCTGGCAAGGAGCAGCCTGGGGAGGAAGGGAGAGGTCAGATGGGTCTGTAGAAAAGGAAGATTAGAAAGACTCAGCGACGCTTGGGGTTGGGACTGAGGGGACAGGCGGGAGGGAAAGAAGGAAGATTTGGGATGAGTTGCACTGGGCACAGAGACTAGGAAGGGACTGATGTGTAAAAGAATGCCTGGACATCAGGCACCTCAGACCATTTGCCCATTTTATGACAAGAATTATTTAGATCCTGTAGGATGGAAAAATTGAAAGTGCCATTTTCCGGCTATTTGGAACTACTGTCGAGTTTGTATTGGGGTCAAGTGGCATTGCAGAAGAAAATAAGACACTAAGATTTTAGGTCAGGTGAGAGTTGAAGAGGTTTTAAGTTCTTAAGAATACAGGCTAAGGGAGAAGAAGGAGGAATGGAAGGTGGAAGCTTGCCCATAGTGAAGGAGGCAAGCCTAGAGAAAAGAGTAGAGACACAGAGAAGGAGTGAGAGTTTCTTGCCATCCAGAAAAGCAGAGAAAGGGTTGGAGCATGGAAATAAGGGATTGGGGCACAGAGATAAGAGGTTGGGGGTGTGGAAATAAGGGATTGGGGCACAGAGATAAGAGGTCGGGGTGTGGAAATAAGGGATTGGGGGTTCTTGCCCCCTAGAAAAGCAGGACTTGCCACTAAGGGTGAAGGAGAAGGGGTTGAGGGGTACTTGCCCCTTCCCCAGAAAAGCGGGACTTGCCGCTAAGGGTGAAGGAGAAGGGGTTGAGGGGTACTTGCCCCTCCCCCAGAATAGCGGGACTTGCCGCTAAGGGTGAAGGAGAAGGGGTTGAGGGGTACTTGCCCCTCCCCCAGAAAAGCAGAGAAGGGGTAGAGACAAGGAGAGAACGGGTTGGGGTACTTGCCCCTTCCCCAGAAAAGTGGGACTTGCCACTAAGGGTGAAGGACCAAGACAGGCATCCCCGCATGGTCTGACACCTTTGAAACGTGGTTGAATAATCAGGGAGGCATCCCTGCAAGGATTAAACACCAAGGGAAGGCTGCCTTCCCAGTCCGTGACCAGCGCCGGAGTTTTGGGTCCACAGATAAAACGTGTCTCCTTTGTCTCTACCAGAAAATGAAAGGAATTGAAATTAAGAGAAGGGAGAGATTGAAGAATGGAAAGAAGAAAGTTGTTGAGGGACAGTGAGAGAGGTTGGAGAAGAGAGTAAGAAGAGGCCGCTTACCTGATTTAAAATTGGTGAGATGTTCCTTGGGCTGGTCGGTCTGAGGACCTGAGGTTGTAGGTGGATCTTTCTCACGGAGCAAAGAACAGGAGGACAGGGGATTGATCTCCCAAGGGAGGTCCCCCGATCCGAGTCACAGCACCAAATTTCATGCGCGTCCATATGAAGAGACCACCAAACAGGCTTTGTGTGAGCAATAAAGCTTTTAATCACCTGGGTGCAGGTGGGCTGAGTCCGAAAAGAGAGTCAGCGAAGGGAGATAGGGGTGGGGCCGTTTTATAGGATTTGGGAAGGTAATGGAAAATTACAGTCAAAGGGGGTTGTTCTCTGGTGGGCAGGGGTGGGGGTCACAAGGTGCTCAGTGGGGGAGCTTCTGAGCCAGGAGAAGGAAATTCACAAGGTTAATCACTCAGTTAAGGTGGGGCAGGAACAAATCACAATGGTGGAATGTCATCAGTTAAGGCGGGGCAGGTCCTTTTCACTTCTTTTGTGATTCTTCAGTTACTTCAGACCATCTGGGCATATACATGCAAGTCACAGGGGATGCGATGGCTTGGCCTGGAAGCCAGGATTGACTTGATATCTAAATCAAAAGACTCATTTTGGGTCATCATAGGTTAGTTCCTTTCCCTGCCTGCAGCATTCCTGTCTGAAGTCTAGGCGTTTACTACAGCCCACTTCACTGGTCTTTCCCAACTTTCAGCACTCCATCTGTACTCTGGAGGGTTCAAAGATGTGATTTTGCAGCAAAGTTCTCCCCACCCCAGCCAGAAATTTGCTGCCTCAAATGAGCTGCTAAAGGTGGATTTCCTGTTTTCTAAGCTTCCACATCACAGTGAATGTAACTGAACAAGGGATATTGTGGATTTTCTCTTGGGCCCTCCCCACTGATTACAGAACCGTGTTGGAAATTCTTTACTCAAGCCAACTGAGGTTGGGGAAGCACATTGGGGGTGGAGGGAGGAAAGTGATGGTGAGCCTAATGAGCATTTTCCTTTTCCGCAGATGAAGATAAATAGTGTTTACCTCCACTTGGCAACGTAGGTGTATAAATGTGTTGGACGGTTAAGTGATGATTTGGGATGTTGGCAAAGCCTGGTAAATGAGACTCTAGTTCACTCTCCTCTCCATTAATCAAAAATAGAAATGCTTTCCTGCTTGCCTGAAAGTATTGACATTATACTATTGCCCCAGTACTGAGCATTTGCTCAAAGGCCATTACAAAATAACTGGAAAATGGATGCGTATTTTGGTTGGTTTAGGGGAACAAATTACTCAAGCAACATGTAGTAATTGCGCTTTTTTTTTTTATCTCCCACACTGCCCAACATTGTGAGAGATATAAAAGAATGATATTCTTTCCTTTCAATGCTATAAAAGATTGATGTTTTCCTTTTTTTACTCTTTGTTGACACTCCAGAAAAAAAAACAGTTAACACGAGATAGGATAAAGTGTGGTTTTTAACAGGTGATATAGGTTGTTTAATTTAGAAAAGAGAAAGCACACTGTAGGCCCATAGAAGTGGAAAGATTTTTCTTCTCCAGAAGAAAAATCCTCTCCTCTCTCTTGCCACCCGCTGAGTGAGATGCTCATTCTTTGAGCCTCAGAGATGTCCTGGATACATTCACTCCTTTACTTGCCACATTTTATTATACTACAAGCTGGGTGGCTGGACATCCTGGTTTGCCCAGCACAGTCCCAGTTTATGCCTGTTATCCCAGAATAATCATTAATAGTTTCCCCTTTTACTCTCAAGAGTAACTCAGTTTAGATGTTAAATATAATTATAACATAAACATAAACTGAAGACCATATAGCCCAGGCTTCTTATGCTGTTGCATTCAAAAGAGCACAATATAGTAACCAAAAGTAATTAGAAATGTTTCTTGAGGCTCAAGAACATGAAAAGGGATCTAATTTTTAACCTACAACAACACTCTTCAGAAGTTTATTTCTCTCTTCCCCAAGTATCCCTGATAGCTGTGGCTGCTCTAAAGCTGTTCAAACGTAACACCCCTAACTTTACTGATACCCAACCCATATGTTTTATTTTGTCTCTTTTGCCTCTCTTAACTCTCTCTCTTTTTTTTAAATCATGAGTCTTCTGTTGTCTCTTACCTTTCCTCTATACATTCTCTTAATTCTGCATTACAAAGCCACTGAAGCCAGCCTGGCAAAGACTCTCTTTGGAAGGTGGCGAAGGTGAAGCATCCAAACTGACAAACAAAGTTGTTCTGAGTGGGCTGGAAGTGGGAGGAGGGAGGCTGGGTACTCTCATTGATGAGTAAATCTTTGTCACAAGTTATCTGAGAAGGGAGCTACAAGTCCTACATCTCAGTGTACAGCACAGTGCTTGGCACAAAGAGGAACTTGAAAATCTGAGTAAAGGAGGCAAATTAGGGAGGCCCTCGACCTAGCTTAGAAGAGGAGGATTTGAGTGGGTGTAGAGGCAGTTGGAGGGCATTCCAGGGATAGAAGGATCAGGGTGTCTGGGTTTATTTTTCTGTGGTGGAATGTACATGAGGATGGGGGGCAGTGAAAAGACTTGGCATAGGGCATTGGAACCCCTCAATGGGGAGAAATGGAGAATCTATTTTTCACTTAATAGTGGTTTAATAGTGGGAGCCATCTATTTGCTTCCAAAAATGGAGACCCTCAGGAAGGGCTTGAAAAACCTGAAAAAAGACTGTATGGCAGAGAGCCAGGGTAGATTCATGAAGCAGGCAGTGACTTGATGGCAGTGCTTTATCAGATAGATTAATTCACCAGTTTTGTTTGGTGTAGTTTGTATGCTTGGTACATTGGTTTGCATTGTGATGGATAAAGAGCATATAGCACATAGAAGAACTCAATAAATGGTGACTAACATCATCACCACCACTACCACAACCACCACCACCACCACTATCATCACCACCATCAACACCATCATCATTATCATCATCACCACCATCACCGTATCACCATCATCATCATCACCATCATCTTTACCATCATCACCACCATCATCATCAACATCATCATCAACATTATCATCACCAACATCACCATTGTCATTTTCATGCGTGTCCGTGTGAAGAGACCACCAAACAGGCTTTGTGTGAGCAACATGGCTGTTTATTTCACCTGGGTGCAGGCAGGCTGAGTCTGAAAAGAGAGTCAGTGAAGGGAGATAAGGGTGGGGCCGTTTTATAGGATTTGGGCAGGTAAAGGAAAATTACAGTCAAAGGGGGTTTGTTCTCTGGCGGGCAGGAGTGGGGGTCGCAAGGTGCTCAGTGGGGGTGTTTTTGAGCCAGGGTGAGCCATGAAAAGGACTTTCACAAGGTAATGTCATCACTTAAGGCAAGGACCGGCCATTTACACTTCTTTTGTGGTGGAATGTCATCAGTTAAGGCGGGGCAGGGCATATTCACTTCTTTTGTGATTCTTCAGTTACTTCAGGCCATCTGGGCATATACGCGCAAGTCACAGGGGATGCGATGACTTGGCTTGGCCTCAGAGGCCTGACAGTCATCATCATCATCACCTCCATCATCATCATCTTTGCTGCCATCATTGTTTTCATTATTAGGAAAGTTCTGAGACAGAGATAAGCTGGAGGATTGTTTAAGGGAGATATTGTGGAAGGCATAGAGAAGCTTCTCTGGGAAGAAAGGAAATTCCAAATATTAGAAGGTCTGTGTGGTAGAATAGGGAGGAGAGACCTTCTATAGCACTTCCTTTGGAAAGTTCCTAGGATGAGAGGGGGAATCAGAGAAGCTGATTTCAGTTCGGCATTAATGAGCTGTCTCATATTCAAAATGTCTGACTATGGGATAGCTTATCTCCTGAGGAAGTGACCTCCCTGCTGCTGGAAGAGCCAAGCAGAATCTAGGTGATTGCCTGCCAGGGTTGTTACAGATGCTTTAATAAACACGTGGAAGAGAAGATTTATTTCCTCTGAGATCCCTTCTAACTGAAAGATGCAAGGGACTTGTAGACTTTCAGGGCCTGGACTAAGTTGGTGGTGGTTAGAATGGCAAAAAAGGATCATGGTCTATACCAGTGGTTCTCAACTAAGGATAATTTTGCCCTTCAGAGAATACTTGGAAATGTCTGGAAACATTTTTGGTTGTCAAATCTGGGGGAGGCTTCTAGTGGGTAGAAGCCAATGATCTGCTAAGCATCCTACAATGCACAGGACAGCTCCCCCACAATAAGGAACTATCCGGGCCAAGATGTCAATAGTGGCAAGGCTGAGAAACACTGGTCTACATTTTAATAAGTCCGTTGTCTTCTTCTGTAGAATGAAGAGAGTTGCTGAGTGGATAAATGCTGACTCACATTCACCAGGTCGTATTTTCCCAAGCAATAAGCCAGAAATATTGCCACGTATTGCCCTTTAAGTTGTAGTTTTCACACACATCTTAAAGATTCCTCTTTTTTCTTCAAAGCTTCTTTGTTTTTGTTTTTTGTTTTTTGTTTTTTCTTTTTTTAATTATACTTTAAGTTTTAGGGCACATGTGCACAATGTGCAGGTTAGTTACATATGTATACATGTGCCATGTTGGTGTGCTGCACCCATTAACTTGTCATTTAGCATTAGGTATATGTCCTAATGCTATCCCTCCCCGCTCTTCACACCCCCCAACAGGCCCTGGTGTGCGATGCTCCCCTTCCTGTGTCCATGTGTTCTCATTGTTCAATTCCCACCTGTAAGTGAGAACATGCGGTGTTTGGTTTTTGTCCTTGCAATAGTTTGCTGAGAATGATGGTTTCCAGCTTCATCCATGTCCATACAAAGGACATGAACTCATCATTTTTTATGGCTGCATAGTATTCCATGGTGTATATGTGCCACATTTTCTTAATCCAGTCTATCATTGTTGGACATTTGGGTTGGTTCCAAGTCTTTGCTATTGTGAATAGTGCCACAATAAACATACGTGTAGATGTGTCTTTATAGCAGCATGATTTATAATCCTTTGGGTATATACCCAGTAATGGGATGGCTGGGTCAAATGGTATTTCTAGTTCTAGATCCCTGAGGAATTGCCACACTGACTTCCACAATGGTTGAACTAGTTTACAGTCCCACCAATAGTGTAAAAGTGTTCTTATTTCTCCACATCCTCTCTAGCACCTGTTGTTTCCTGACTTTTTAATGATCGCCATTCTAACTGGTGTGAGATGGCATCTCATTGTGGTTTTGATTTGCATTTCTCTGATGGCCAGTGATGATGAGCATTTTTTCATGTGTCTTTTGGCTGCATAAATGTCTTCTTTTGAGCAGCGTCTGTTCATATCCTTTGCCCACTTTTTGATGGGGTTGTTTGTTTTTTGCTTGTAAATTTGTTTGAGTTCATTGTAGATTCTGGATATTAGCCCTTTGTCAGATGAGTAGGTTGCAAAAATTTTCTCCCATTCTGTAGGTTGCCTGTTCACTCTGATGGTAGTTTCTTTTGCTGTGCAGAAGCTCTTTAGTTTAATTAGATCCCATTTGTCAATTTTGGCTTTTGTTGCCATTGCTTTTGGTGTCTTAGACATGAAGTCCTTGCCCATGCCTATGTTCTGAATGGTATTGCCTAGGTTTTCTTCTAGGATTTTTATGGTTTCAGGTCTAACATTTAAGTCTTTAATTCATCTTGAATTAATTTTTGTATAAAGTGTAAGGAAGGGATCCAGTTTCAGCTTTCTACATATGTCTAGCCAGTTTTCCCAGCACTATTTATTAAATAGGGAATCCTTTCCCCATTTCTTGTTTTTGTCAGGTTTGTCAAAGATCAGATAGTTGTAGATATGCAGCATTATTTATGAGGGATCTATTCTGTTCCATTGGTCTATATCTCTGTTTTGGTACCAGTACCATGCTGTTCTGGTTACTGTAGCCTTGTAGTATAGTTTGAAGTCAGGTAGTGTGATGCCTCCAGCTTTGTTCTTTTGGCTTAGGATTGACTTGGCAATGCAGACTCTTTTTTGGGTCCATATGAACTTTAAAGTAGTTTTTTCCAATTCTGTGAAGAAAGGCATTGGTAGTTTGATGGGGATGGCATTGAATCTGTAAATTACCTTGGGCAGTATGGCCATTTTCACGATATTGATTCTTGCTACCCATGAGCATGAAATGTTCTTCCATTTGTTTGTATCCTCTTTTATTTCCTTGAGCAGTGGTTTGTAGTTCTCCTTGAAGAGGTCCTTCACATCCCTTGTAAGTTGGATTCCTAGGTATTTTATTGTCTTTGAAGCAATTTTGAATGGGAGTTCACTCATGATTTGTCTCTCTGTTTGTCTGTTATTGGTGTATAAGAATGCTTGTGATTTTTGCACATTGATTTTGTATCCTGAGACTTTGCTGAAGTTGCCTATCAGCTTAAGGAGATTTTGGGCTGAGACGATGGGCTTTTCTCAATATACAATCATGTCATCTGCAAACAGGGACAATTTGACTTCCTCTTTTCCTAATTGAATACCCTTTATTTCCTTCTCCTGCCTGACTGCCCTGGCCAGAACTTCCAACACTATGTTGAATAGGAGTGGTGAGAGAGGGCATCCCTGTCTTGTGCCAGTTTTCAAAGGGAATGCTTCCAGTTTTTGCCCATTCAGTATGATATTGGCTGTGGGTTTGTCATAGATAGCTGTTATTATTTTGAGATACATCCCATCAATACCTAATTTATTGAAAGCTTCTTTGAAGTCAGTTCAACTGGTTAAGAAATGCAGTAGGTGATAAGGACAAGCTCACTCTTCAATCTTGTCTGCAACCTAATTCTGGCTGCTATCTAGTAGGCTCTGTGGAGTGCAGTTTTGTATTTATCCTCCTTCCTGGAGGGTAACTGACTTTTCTGTAGGCTGGAGATGGATACAAAGGATTCAGGTTTCATAGATTTTTCTTGGTAGCCTGGCCAATTTCCTCATTTGGTACACAGCTTACAAATATTTAGGGTAACAACATGTCCAGGTTTACCTAAAACAGTCATGGTTTACTCATTTTGTGTTGGGGTGATGATTAATAGTGTCTTCTTTTACCATCAAAAGTGTCCTGCTTAGAAAATAAGTTATATGATCACCTACTCTATTACTCGTCCAATGAGTATTTTTATGATACATTCATACCATTTTAAAGAATATATGTAACCTAGCAGGTGTTAGTTTAAAACAACTCACCAGCACTAGCTAATCTGATTCATAATCACCATCATCATAAAAGCTAATCTGAATAACTTTTCCAAAATAGTTATGACTTCTGTCCTTCAAACCACACTTTTACCCATTTCCTCTCATAAGCCACAAGCCACACTTGTGACTTGTGTATACCAGAGGGATTATATCTGCGGTCAGAGATAGAAGTAAATTATTTGCATAGGGTCCTTACTCTATATCTTTACCGACTTTACAGGTCAACCTTACTTTGACCCATTGCCCAACTCAGAAATATAATTCTATAAGACAAACAGCACTCCAATAACTTTTCAGACAAATTCCTTCTAAACCATGACCAGTTCTATATTAATTTGTACATCCTATTTTGTCTTTGCTATCCACTCTTCAACTCTCTCCTAAACCACTGACGTTTTTTCAACTTTGATTCCCAAAGAGACGATTTTGAAACATAGTTTCATTGGTTTCCCAAAGCACATAAAAATAATAGATCTGATTAGGTGAATCCATATTTCACAAATACAATGTGTAGAGTCTCATCATTGAATATGTTAAACACAAAATGATATCTGTTCCAGGAAAGTTTCTGGCCATAAAGACCACAAACTGCCTTCCCTTTGTCTCGATTATGTTTTTCCTTCATTGTACTGTTCTGTTATACTCTTCTCAGCTCTTTGGGGCAGGGAGTCAGGGAGTTGTTTGTTCAGCAGGTGCTATGTATAGTAAATTGCTGCATGCATTTATGTTGCTATATAAATAATGAACAATTCTGTACTCACAGACACTTTGATCGTCACAGTGATAATATCCCCTATTTTAGAAAAAAATGTGCATAAGAGTTTTACCTTGCTTCAGCAGATAAGACATATCAGATTGGCACATGACCTTATTTTTCTTCTTTTTAAAGACCATAGTGTAACAGTTCATGAGATTGCTCATAAAATAAGCCAATTGCTTAGAATGCAGAAAAACATGATGTTTTTGGTAATCAATCCCCGAAATCATCTCCATTTTCTCTTCCTAATTAAATCCCCAAATTTTGGGTTTATAGGTTAAATAATTAGGAAGTTCTTTTCCTAGTTCTTCTCTCTGCCCTCCCAGCTTAATATGTCAGAGCAGATGTGTAGTCAGAAGCATGGGCTTGGGAATCAGTCATGAGTTGGAAATAGAACCTATCACTTACCAGCTGTGCGACCTTGGACTTCTTACCTCAGTTGTCTCATATGCTCTAGAGGATAACAGAGCTCATCTGAAAGGGGCATTGTGGCGATTAAATGAGATAGACTGTGTGTATACATCTCTAGCACCTGGAACAGAGTAACCCAAAATAAGGCAACAAATCTTTGTAGGTGTTCCCATGTCTCTACCATTATACATGTCCTAACTCATCTATTATCATCTGTCCAAATGCCTGTCCTCATCACTACATAGTAGCAACTTAAGGCCAGGCACAACACTTCTTTATCCATGTAGCTCCAGAGTCTAGCCTAGCAGATACTAGCCATTCAATACATTTTTTCTGAATCAATAAACCAATGGGTGAATTTGATAGTTTTGGAGCATGACAATTTATTGTTACTTTCCTTGTCTACACTTAACAAAAATGCTCTCTGAAAATTCCAAATTGGGAAGTGTTCAGGGTCTCCCATTCTCCTGAGTAAAATGCTTGATTTGGCTTTGGGGATAACTGACTGTCTCTTCCCCTAGCACCAGAGATCGTCTTAGGCTACAGCTGTGGAGTAGATGCTGTTGGTGTCCTGCCCACATCACCTTTGCCAGGCAGGTGCCACATCACCTTCGCTGGGCAGCAATCCACAGCTACTGTGAATGGCTACTGGAAGCACACAGCTGTAGCTTTTTGGAGATTTCCCCTCTATTAACAGCAGCCTCTTGCTCACAGGCATTGGGAGGTTAGACCCTCTCTCCCAGTCAGGTAGTCTGCTGTAGCCAATGACTGACTGATACAGGCATACAAAAGCCTGACCCATTTGGGAACGTACTTAAACTAAAGCCAGGTCATCTTGATAGGATTGTGAAGCTGGTCAGTCAGTCACGAAGCTCTCAACATTGGGGCTGCATGTCTCAGCCTTTGATCAATGCACACATATGGGGCAACATGAAGGCCCTTCTACAGTTTTCTTATTAGTGCCCCCTCTGACTTGAGTCTTCAGGGCCACTGTAACCTCTGGCAGTTTTCCTCTTTTTTTTTGTACTTTGTTCACATTTGGAAAAGATAGGTCATATTTTAGTATTTCCAATGTGAAGATTATAAACTTACTAAGACATCAGTTTCTAGCAAAGGATCAAAGTAAGTTTCTAATGAATGTTTAATAATTCTTGATATTTGCTAAGGAAATTAATATTAACAAAATGTTGTCTTAAAAACATAAGTCCAGAGTGCCAGAATGTTCTCTTTGTATCACTGACAGAAGTACAGGTTAACTTATTTGTGGTAAACTGTTTTCCAGAATGGTTAGAAGATAATGTTCTGATAAGATAGGGAGAGAGATGACAGAAATGGTTTTCCAAAGACTATATTCAAGTCTGTCAAATACGAAACCAAATTTATTTTTCCCTCTGACAATATCAAGATATTGCAATGCTTCAAGTTGGAAAGTATGAACAGCTGTTAACTTAGCATTAGAGATATGTAGCAAAAAATTCTAATAATAGAGATTGTTCACTTGTTACAGTATTGTAACAGAGCTGGGATTCAAGATGCAAAGAGCTGGTTTGATCAGTCTGCACAATGCCCAGGAGGTTTCCAGAAATGGATCCGCATCACATTCATCGTCACCACCCAGATCTTGTCTGTAACGTTGGTGCTGGAATGATGTAAAAGACCATTTATTCTAATTTCCCTGTTTTATTTCTCAGATGGAGAAACTGAGGACTGGGAAATGCAGTGGCCACACATTTTTAAAACCATGTAACAGCTCTTTCCCTGTGCCCTTGAGATGGAAAGGTCAAGGGGCTGTTGCCGAGCCATCTACACTGGTCAGGATCTGAATGAGCCAGGTGGGCAGCACAGGTGGGAGGTATGTGAAGGCTGTATTTTCTCCTACCCTCTGAAGTGTAAGGAGACAGGCTGTTCTGTATTGTCACGGCCCCAGAGGTGAGAGGGGAAGTGCACAGGGATGACCAATATCCTTACCCACACCCCCATACTCTGGGCTGGTTCTAGGTTTTCTAGGATCACTTATGGCAACCCTGGGCTTATACGAGTCCATACAGCCAACACAAAGCTGGAAGTAGCCTGGGGTAGAGGGAGCGGTGTGTGTTTTGGGCCCTGTTACGAACACCTGTAGTGGTTGAGGGTGTTGGTTTTAGATTTCAGTCCTGGGTGAGCCTAATGTATTTTAGAGGTAAGGAAATGTGGAAGAGGTTCAGAATTGGAATTTTTATCCATCCACCCATGAGGAGACTGGATATCTTGCCAACAAAGACCACCTGGGGGATGCGTGGGATCAAGCTGGTTGGGATGCATAAAACCCTAGGGGTGGATCCAGTGCAGAGCCGGGGGCTGAGACACATGGCATGGTGGCCCCTTGACTACGTCTATGCTACAATGACTCCCAGGAGCCACCTGCTCATTCCCAGCCCATGTCAATGGCCAAAATATTTGAGAGCATTCAGAGATTATCATCAATGAGTGGAGCCAGGCAAGGGAATGAAGACCAAGGAAGACAAAAGTGGAATCTAGAATGGTTCTGGTGCAGATCGAATCCTAAATCTGGAGGACACTCATTTGCATTTGTGTTCACAGTACTGCTGATTGGGGTCCACGCACCCCACAGAGCAGGCACAACCTCAGAGCGCTGACTCCAATAGATACAAACCTTGTGTGTCAAAGAGGAGCTAAGAGAAAGACTAAAATAGGAACCAATAAATAAGTAAACCCCCAACAAATGAAGAGACCCCCCCCCCATTACTGCTTGAAATGGCCTCATTTTTTTTTTTAAACAACAAACATGGAAATAAAAACCACAACATATCTTCTCCTATGCCATTCTCTCTCAGGAGCCATAAGCAGCTGCAGGAGATGGAAAATAGATTGTGTTAGTAGCAAAACAGTTGCCCATGACATTTTCAGATGGAATGGAAGAAGTGATACAGCTGTGAGAAAACACAGTGCTTACTGTGCTAAATTTATTTCATGAACTTCCAGTATTAAAAAATACTGGCAGGCAGAGATTTTAAAAATGACACTGTGCCCTTCCTAAACTCTGGAATCACATTACTTAGTATTTGTGGTAATTTCCAATCAGGACAGTCATTGTCATCACTGTAGATATTCAGACAGGTGACAAATGATGGTGATATCAGATTGGAACAGGAAACAGCCATGGAGCATTTCCCAGTGTATCTATAGGGAGCTGCTCTATCAGCAGATTCCTGATTAAGGTTGGGTCGAGGGCACAACCCCCCTGTGTCCGTGTAGTCATCTCATATGTCTTTGATTTGAGGACCTTTGAAGTAAAAGCTTTGGTCTAGCAATGTTGGCATTACAACAATATTCTGATGGAGGACAGGGAGCTGGAGAACTCAGCAATGGAGCTGGGACTAAGGCTGTGTGTGATGCCCAGTGTATGGCTCTGACCTCTGTTTGTGGGACCAGCAGCAGTTCTGAGCCTTTTCCTCTCTCCTGCTTCTGTACACATGAGGACTAGTGTTCTCATGCACTACACATTGCCATGCATATTTCTGAATTTTTATGAATCCCCACAAAATGTGGCAGAGAAGTAGAGCAAATAACATTACAATTTTTATGGTATTCATAAAGTATATTTTATAAGCATGTGAGTAATGAATCAGCCCTTTTGGAGGTCTCAAAACTTGTCCTACAAAGAAAATATGGCTTATCCAATTTCGAAAAAATGATTGAACTTATAGAAAGGGACTTGATGCTTCCAGACTGTCACTCCTTAAGTAATATTAATCAGCTAGAAAGTATGTGCTGTTAAATAATGAACACAAATAAAATCTATTTCATACAAAAATTACAACATGCAGATTTATTGATTTTCAACATACTCTTATTACTGTGAATAATATTACTGCTGATTTCATTTGATAATCACTTTGCCTACCTTTGATTTTGAAATGAGAGTTGGGACGTGCTAAGCAGCACGCTGGTAGCATCCTTCTTACCTACGTGCACTGAAGCCCTGGATGCACCTATCAATCATGCTTCTTTACCTACTGGTGCGCCTTACTTAAGTCAACTAAGAAATAAAGCAAAATTAACTATAAAATCACAACTCGGAAGCACTATGAAATGCATCATTCCCAAAGAAATTTTTAAATGGAATTAAATGTTTTTGTGTTTTGATTATAAAGTCATACATGTGTATTGTATAATCTAAAGGCAAAGTATAAAATAGAGAAAGTTGACTTCTCCCCTACATGATCACAGTCTACAAATATAACACTATTACATATATTCCAAATATATATTTTAGAGATAAGGAAATGTGGAAGAGGTTCAGAATAAATAAAACACTATTTAATAAAATAAAAACACTATTCCATATATTTATACATGGAATATATATATATGGAATATATATATGGGACATATATATATGGAACCTATATATATGGGACATATATATATGGAACCTATATATATGGGACATATATATATGGAACCTATATATATATATATATATGGAACCTATATATATATGGAACATATATATATGGAACCTATATATATATGGAACATATATATATATATATATATATATATATGGAACCTATATATATATATGGGACATATATATGGAACCTATATATATATAGGACATATATATATATATATATATATATATGGAACCTATATATATATGGGACATATATATGGAACCTATATATATATATATATGGGACATATATATATGGAACCTATATATATATGGGACATATATATATATGGAACCTATATATATATGGGACATATATATATATGGAACCTATATATATATGGGACATATATATATATGGAACCTATATATATATGGGACATATATATATGGAACCTATTATATATGGGACATATATATATGGAACCTATTATATATGGGACATATATATATGGAACCTATATATATGGGACATATATATATATGGAACCTATATATATGGGACATATATATGGAATCTATATATATGGAATATATATATGGAATATATATATGGAATCTATACATATGGAATATATATACATATGGAATCTATACATATGGAATATATATACATATGGAATCTATACATATGGAATATATATATGGAATATATATACATATGGAATACATATATGGAATATATATACATATGGAATATATATATGGAATATATATACATATGGAATATATATACATATGGAATATATATACATATGGAATATATATATATGGAATATATATATATATGGAATGAGGGCCTCCAGTATTCCATATATATATATTTATGGCCCTCATTCCATATATGTATATGGAATGTATGTCATTCCATATATACATGGAATTATACATATATATGGAATATATGGAATTCCATATATATTTATATATATAAATTTTAAAACATATCTATATACTTAAAAATGGGATCACTCTGTAAGCTACTTTTACAACATAATACAGCATGGATATCACTCCATGTCAGTGCACACAGATCTACCACATCCCTCTAATCACTGCCAAGCAGAGGAGTTTCACAGGAAACCACGAAGGCAGACAGGGCCAGCTAGTGCAGGTCCTGGTTACTGTGGACTTGATCCTAAGAGCAATAGGAAGCCCTGGGAAGACTGGAATCAGAGAAGTGATATGACCATATTTGCTTTCAAAAAGACCATGGTGGCTGCAGTGTGATGAACGGATGGAAAGGGGACAAGAACAAGTTTGAGGAACAACACAAAGCCATTGCCCTTTGCATTGTAGAGAATGATGGTAGCTTAGCCCAGGGAGGTGGTGGTGGAGGTGGAGAGAAGTGGATGGATTCAAGATAAATGTAAAAGGTGGAATAGAAACCACCTGACTGTTGGCTGGTCATGAGTGTGGGGAAGAGAAAGGTGTGGAGAATGACTTGGAGAGTTCTGGCAGGCATGGTGGACTACAGAGGGATTTGTTTGCTGAGCGAGGGAATGATGGGGAATCTTGCTGGGGGAGGCAGTGACACCATGAATTCACTTTGACTCTTGAATTGGCAGCACCTGTGGGATATCCAAGTGAATACATTCCATTCTGGAGTACAGCTCAGTGGTGTATTAGATGCAAATTGGTGGGGCAGGCTAGGGCAGTGATCCTCCCTCATGGAGAGACTAAATGAGAAGGGGACTGGACCTGGGGGAAATCCAGGACTTACAGGCTGGGTGGAGACAAATGAGGCAGGCTGAGAAAGAGAAGCCAGAGAGAGGGAAAACCTGTAGAATTGCAAGCTCCCTGTGGTTGGGGAGCAGGTTAGTTTTCTCTCACTATTTTACCTCTAAGGCTTAGCACAATTCCAGGAACATGTATTTTTAACGAATAAATGAATGGAACTATGGGGTCATATAAGCCAAAGCAAGGAAGTTGTGGCAAGAAGGACACATGCTGAAAAGTGGTCCTGAATTAGTGATGTGGGCGTCATTCCTAACTTCAGCAGAAGCAGCTCAGCAGAGATGGTGGGGTCATAGGTAGTCAGAGCAGATAATACCAACTTATATCACCACCACCACCTATGTGAAGTACCATTTTGCTTGCACCCTCACCAACATTAGGTATTACCAATCTTGCTGATTTGAAAGGCAAAAATAGGTGTTATTTGACTTTGAATTCCTCTAAGGCTTTAAGCATATTGGAGGTTGCTTTTTATGGGATGGGGACAAATTATTCATTTATATATATTTCTTGCTTTTCTATTCTGATGTTTTATTTTTTCCTTTCTTTAGTTTAAACAGCTTTATGTCTAGTAAAGAGTTTAACTCTGTCATCCAGGTGATAAACATTTCCCTGTTCTCTCATTTGTCTATTCAAGTTAATTGGCTTATAATATCTGTTATAGGGAAAGTATTAATTAATTAATTAATTTTGAGACAGAATCTCGTTCTGTTGCCCAGGCTGGGGTGCAGTGGTGCGATCTTGGCTCACTGCAAGCTCCACCTCCTGGGTTCACACCATTCTTCTGCCTCAGCCTCCCGAGTAGCTGGGACTACAGGCGCCCCCGCCACCACACCTGGCTAATTTTTTGTATTTTTAGTAGAGACGGGGTTTCACTGTGTTACCCAGGATGGTCTCAATCTCCTGACCTCATGATCCACCCGCCTTGGCCTCCCAAAGTACTGGGATTACAGGCATGAGCCACCGGACCTGGCCAAATGTTTTAATTTTTAAAGTCAAATTTATTTCTCTAACTTTTAAAATGAGCAGTACATTCGCATAATTCAAAAATTGAAAAAAGAACACAAGAGTTTTGGAATGGAAAATCTCATTCCTACCCCTGTGCCCATCCATCCAGTGCCCCCTCAATCAATGGTGACAGGTACCACTATTGTTAGTGGCTTATACACTTTCCAGAGTTTACTTTTGTGTACAGACACAGATATAAAAATAGATGTCTATTTTTCCTCCTTTTATATACACAAAAGGTAGAAGATTATACACACATTCTGTACCTTGGTGTTTTTCATTTAATAGTATATTTTGGAGTTCTTTCCATTTCAGAACACTGTGATCTTTATCCCTCTCTATAGCTGTAGAATATCTTGATAAGAATGCTTTCTACTTTTTAAATGATAAAAAATAATTTCTCATATTTCTTATATTTTGATAGTTTCAATTTTTACATTTATGTATTTGATCAGTCTGGCAGCTGTTTTCACAAAGTTTGAATCAAACATTCATTCTTTTTAAAATAGGGATCCAGTTGTCCCGGCAGTGCTTCTTGGATAATCCATCTTTTCCCCATTGATTTGAAATGCCATTTTACCCTATAATAAATTCTTATAAACACCCATGGCTGTTTCCAAAAGTCTCTATTATGTTCTATTGATTGATTTGTCTGGGCCAGAACAGTATTGTACTGTTTTAATTTCGCCAGTATTTTAGTGTATTTTGTTAACTGGTAAGGCAAATACCCTTTCTTAATTCTTTTCAAACATTTCTTCATTATTGTCTTATCTTTTACTTTATGGGTGAACTTTATAACTAATAAGTTCAAAAACACGTTAAAATGTTGATTGACATCGCACTAAATAGATATATAAACTTGTGGATAAATATCTTCAAATATTGGCTTCCCATATGGAGCATCAAATGCTGTCTCTTTGTTGATTAAGCTCTTCTATATTTCTCTGTCAAGTTTTGTGATTTCCTTTTTTTTTTTTTTTTTTTTTTTTACATCTTTTACATTTTTAAAGTTAATTTCTAGGTATTTTATGTATTTTTTTTGCCTCTTTTTCTCTCATTATACCTAATTGATTCTTTCTGGAATAAAGTTTGCTACTGATTTTTATAAATTTGTCTATTTTTGTTTTGTTTTAGCTTTTATTATAGAAAATTCCAAACATACACTGAACTAAGGGAAGATATGATAAATACCCATGCTCCGACCACCCAGCCCAGCACCCATCACCCTGAAGCCAATCCCACATCATCTATACCCTGTGCATGTCTCCCACAAACTTCAGGTTATTTTGAAGCAATGACTAAATATCATATTTCAGTATAAATTTCTAAAAGATGTAGACTCTTTCTTAAAAAGCATAACTACAGTACCACTCTAACACTTAAGTAATACTAACAACAGTCCCTTTATTTCATTAAATATCCAGGGTTCACATTTCCCAAATATCTTTAAATTATTTTTTAGCAGTTCCTTTAAATAAGAATATAAATAAATTCCATGCATTGTAATTATTGGATGTCTCATACATGTTTTTTTACCTATAGGCTTATCCTCCCTTTTTTTGCTTGTTGTTATTGTTGAAGAATTCAGGTCTTTTTTTCTCTGGAGTTCCCCATATTCTGTTTTTTCTATTTGAATCCTGTGGTGTCATTTAACATGTTCTTCTGTTACCTGTATTCCTTCCAATCCTATTATCAAGGTCTCTCTAGTCATTTTGGTTGGTTGTAGCTTGGTCTCCTGTGGAGTTCCAAGAAGGGCTCATGGAAACATATTCTCTGAGTTCTTGCAAATCCATGCTACTTCTCTGCAGACTTCCTGTTTGAAGGTCAGTTCGCCTGAATGTAAAGTTCTTGGCGATTGTGAGGCTCTTCTGTTCTCAAGGCTGACAGACACCATATTGTCTCCCTCTGCTTGCTTCTGCAGGGCTGCTAATACCACATGGATGTCATGGCCGTCTGTATTTGTCCCCACCTGTTCCTGTTTGAGGTTCTTGGGAATGTCATCTCCTCTCATTTTGTTGTAGATGTTATCTGTGGATTTTTGGTTTTGTGATCCTATTTTTTGTTTTTATGGAGGATTCAGGAAGATTAAAGAACTCTAAAATTATCTCTTAACTCAACAACTTACCAAAATGTATGGTTTTTAAAAGTTTTCCAGCTAACTCTTATGAATTTTTCTAGCTGGAAAAATCCTACCATCTGTTTTTTATTTTATTTTTTATTCCTGAGAGTTCTTTCTTGTTCTCATATTGTTCCTTTGCTTATCCGGTTTTGTCTTCCCAAACTTGTCAAATCTCACTGAGGATTCAAAGTGGAATACGTCATAAGTTCTGCCCTTTTTGGCTTTAATTTCATTTTGGTGAGAACCAATTGTTTAGCTTGCTCAAATATTTCATTTTGTGTTTGTATTCTTACAGTTAAAATCCACGTTGGTTAATTTGGGAAGATTGTGTAGTTTCGGCCAGCAATTATGTGGATCACTGTCCAACTTCCTGGTGGGTGTCTCACCATTTTATCTGCTCAGCTGGGGTAGGTGGCTTTCATGGCCCGTGTCTAACTTTTCCTCAGAGTGGGTGGGCTGTAAGAACAGCTCCACATCTGGCTTGCTTTTGGAATATACCGGCTGGGAACACTGTGGGAGATCCCCTCATGAATGAAATGGGTAGTCACAGGAGCCCATTTAAACGCAATTGATGGTATTTACAATGGTTGTTTCTCATTGATTGTGCACGGTATTGACTCAATAGTCATTTCTCCATGATCACCTTCCTCTCCTTCTCTCTCTCTGAAGACAACAATTCAGAAGGACTGTGAAAAACAGTGATGCCATATTAGGAGTAATCTTGAATTTGCTTTAACACACATGTGGCCAAAATAAAAGGCAAATTATTTAAAAACTCAAGTACTTTATTAGTCAAATATGATAAAGTATATGTGATGCACTTCAGAATTGATATTGACAAGCCAAGTGCCTCAAAATCTCAGCATCTTGAGTGAAAATTATGGATTTTGTATAATATAATCTGTTTTTTGTGACACACGATATACAGTGTTGTAATAACAGAAATGCTGTCAATTAAAGAAACTTTGAGATTCTTCTGTTGAACCTAGGTCTGGCAAACCTTCAGTAAAAGTTATAAGTTGCAAGGTTTAGGTTGACTTATTTAACAATATTAGTTGATTTACTTTGAGTTTGATCAAATACAATAATCATCACATCCTCCTCTTTAGTCGTGCTATGTATACAGAACTGTACTATGAGAAAACATTTTCATACCCTGCATTTAATGACTTTTGTAGTGACGACACTTTTAAGGACAGAGCTCATTTAAGTGAATATGCCATAACTGATGATGATGAAGTTTGTTCATGGTTGAATTAACAAGTTCCTAGATGGAGTTACTGGTTGTAAAAATTCTCTCAGTTTTGACTTACTATAATATCCTCAAATTATGATCCACATTAATTAGAGTATTTAGATACCAAGGTAGAAATGGGATCTGAAAATATCTCAGTGGAGGTTCTCAAAGCAAAGTAGAAAATCATTTCACGGGCAAAGGTGGAGGAGAGGATCTTGTCCGTGGTCCTCCCAGGTAACAAACCAATATACAAGTGGTGCATGAGAAGGACAGATTTAGACCATGATCCTTTTCTCTCCAGTTTTTCAAATTTTCCTTCTCTGGAAAGGCTGATGAAATGAGGACATTTTATTTGCCTTTAAACCAGAGAACAAGCCAAGTGTCGTTAAAGATGGCTCTGCTCCTGAATCATTAAAGGCCAGTGGAGGAGCTGCAATGAAATATGCCACTTTTTGACATTCCATAACATTGCCCTTCACTGCAGCTGCCAAAATTGAGCAGCTGTTTCTTACATTCCCCTGCCACTTCCTAGCTTTGCTGGAAGAAGTCAGCTCTGTTTTCTCATTACTGGTCTTTCCACCGGCTGGGCATCTGGATTCATAGTCCTGGTATCTCAATTCAATATTTTCTTTACCTCATAAATGACATGGTGGACAGATGGAGCAACCTATAGCAATGGCTTTTCCTAGCGTGGCCCCAGTGACCCAGGCCCAGAGGTTGAACCCCAGAAATCCATCCGAGGTGATGCAAGAACCATTGTATTTTTCTGTTGAGCTAGTAGGTAGGGGTGCTCTTGAGGACACAGAGGAGAGAGGTGAGGAAACTGAGGTCTGCCATCTATTCTGCCTCTCCTCACTTGCCGACATTTGACAGAAGTAATGCACCTGACAATGAGGAATACATAGAGGGCTCTCCTGCCTTCGGCTGTAGCAGAGTCTGATGTTCTATAGCGGTTAGAAGATTTCCCTTAGGGGGTTTTCTGGCTCCATTGCCTCTGTAAATATGAATAAATAAATTTGAGATTAGAAATTCCCATTTAGATAATTTGAATTAAATAACAGGAATGCAATACCCAACAGGGCATCAGATGCCTGCATAAAACCAATTCTGAGGTGTTGGCCGGGGCCTGTGTAGGCCATGGTGGCCCTAAGTCAGGGTCTAGGACCACTCTGGGGACAGAGGCTCTGTCTGGGGTGGGGCTGAGAAAACCAAGGCCATAGGGGGGTCTGGATGTAGACTCAAGTACACTGGGATGGATCCAGGCCACTGCTGGAAAGACCTTAATGCTTCTGCATGTTATTTTCCTGCCCCTGGCTGGTATTTGGAATTCTGCCTCTAGACAGCCATCCTTTTAGCTTAGGCTGACACCTCATTAAGCTGTGATTGTGCACATGAAGATTAATTGGTCAGAGTTTTCCCCTGAAATAATTTTTTTAGGGGCAAGGGAATTGAGGAACAAGATTGAGAAGCATTTGATGTGGATAAAGGCGGGAAGTCAGCTTGAGGGGAGGGATGGGAAAGGGAAAGGAGAATGGGCACCATGGAATGGGAAAGGCATACAGAATATGAGCAACAGTAACACCAGAGATCAAGCCCCTGTGTTACCTGAGGATCCAAAGTAAGGTTTGCCCAAACAATTGTGTAAGAAATTGTGATGATTCGTAAACTGCATCTGGTTCTAAGAGACACTGCATGCAGAGAAAGAACCACTCATCTCAGATATTCTGGACCGATTCAACATCTTCATCTTTCTGGATTGATGTCTCTATTACCACTGAAAAATCTCAGAAACACTGATGTTTTTGTTTCTGAATATATTCGAGACACTTGGGACTCAAAGTGTGGTCTGTGGATCTGTGGCATTGGCATCATCCAGAAGCTTGTTAGAAATATTGAATCTGATGGCTGAGTGCGGTGGCTCATGCCTGTAATCCCAGCACTTTGGGAGGCCGAGGCTGGTGGATTGCCTGAGGTCAGGAGTTTGAGAAATTCTGAATCTCAGGTCCCCCCACAGGCCTAGTGAACACAAACTAATACAATCTCAAGTTTGTGAATCATGGTTCTAGAGCACCTCTTATAATTGGCCACATGAAAATGATTTGTCAGAGCAGGACAACGTGACCTTTGTAGAGAAATCCAGAAGAGGTCGTATTTTCTCATTACCAGAGCTGAACTCCTCCTTGACCTGGCCCTGAGTGGGACCCAACTAATGTTCATTTAGTACACATCTGCCTCACTGGGAAAAAAGGATTAAGAGCTTTGAAAGGGAAATAACATCACAATATGTCTGCCACTGAGACTCTTTAGTCCTTGGAAAAAGATATTTCATTCTAAACCCTGGAGCGATACCAAACACTTGTTTAATTTGTGATTTTTTTTTCTTGTTGTTCATGAGCAGAAAAATGACTGAGCCCATGTGGCAGCTGGAAGGTCATACGCACCCTTCCAGCCCAAGAAGGATGCAGACAGCCTCTGCAGCCCCACCAGCCAAGGGAAGCAGATCCGAGAACTGACCCATCCCTCTTACTGGCTCCTTAAATTAATTTAGGAGTCAGACTGTCATGATGATATTGATAGCAATAGGTGAGTACTATTAGATTCCCAAGATAATGCAGACTATTGAAGAACTCTGTTTTAATATAAAATGCAGCCAATTTTCAAAACACATAAGGCATTCTTCATATTTAAGAAGTCACATACCTTGCATCTTTAAAATCATGTAGGGACTCAAGCTCTCGTTCACTATAGAAGAATTTTAAAAGTATGGATTAAGGAAGTCACATAGCGGTCAGTATCATCAATCATATATTGAAAGATTCCAACCTTCTATTCAAGAAGCTATTATCTTTTAAATCAAGAAAATGCCTAGGAGAGCCTTTCCTTGTGAAGAAAAAAAGAACTCGAAGACAGCGCTTCAGGGTTTTGCCCTGAAGTATTTTTCCCGATGGTATTTAGCTGCCAAAGTGGATGAAATCCTTAACATGAAGACTTTCTCGCCAAGAGGAGGAAGATATGAATCAAGGAACCTCATCACCCAAGCCTCAACACCCTATGGATAGAGTGGTCATCTGCTTTCTCCCAAGACAGCCCAGGTTTATGCCTCCTATCCTGTAATGGTTATTACTAACCCTGCCTCCTCCCTCATTTGCATGGACCTTAAATTATTAGATTTATAAAAGTGCCAACTGTGTAGGCTATGAAAAGTCATATGGTTTATCGTCTAAATCCCCACTCATTACTGGAGTCCATGTGGCCCTTCAGGAGCTGACCCGACCTACCATTCCAGTGTAATTTCCAGCATTTTCCAATGCACTCTGTGTTCCAACTCTGCTGAACTACTGGGTTCCCAGAATGTGACATGTTTGATTTCTCGTGGTTTGTATGTGGCGGTTCTCTCTGCTGTTGGGAATTCATTTTCCCCACAATGTGCTCAATCTACTCTTCTCCCAGACTCTTCTAATACTAGCTCTTAGTGAAATCTCACCTGGAAGCCTCCATTCTTTGGTGCTTTGTAGAACTTTAACTCACTGCTGACTGTTTGTGGATTCTACCATCAGGCCCACTATGTGTTATGCCCAGTGCAAGTCTGTGTGAGGGAGAAAGAGAGGGAAGAAAAAGAAAGGAAGGAAAGAAGGAAGAAAATAAACATGGAGAGAATCAATAAAATAGGCATTATTACTATAGAGTCCATAGCTGCTAAAAGGGAAACTGGAATTTGGGAGTAACTTTTGCATAAGACTGTGATATTTCTCTTTAATTATCTGTTCATATTTATTTTCCTCTTGTCTCTTCCTCATTGTTTATAATAAAGCTTCAAGGAAACCCTCAAATGTCTTGTGCACTTCTTGAGACAGGCTAGGTGTGGGAAAGCAATGAGACTGCATATTCTGCAGTGCTGCAGGGAGAAGAGTCTGGCCACAAAGAATCAATGAAGGTCCGTTTAAGACAGGAGCAGAAAATCCAATCCTAGAGCAATGGAGAAAATAAAAAGCATGGCAGGGGCTAGCCTGGGATCACAAAGTGTCCTGGGGGTGTCTGCACTGGCAGAAGGTCCTGTATCCTGTCATCTGGTTGAATTTCAAAGTTATAGCTACGTTCATTATAATACTATTTAGGCAAGGACAGAAATCAGTACAAAGGAGTTTTTATTCCATGAGGATCTCATTAGAAGATGGATGCTCATAAAGAGAAGGTCTTAAGATGTCAGAGTATTTGGCCAAATATGCTTCTTCACTTCTTCAGGCAGTTTCTAAAGTGTGGTCCATGGATCATCTGCACCAGATGATGCTAGCGGCTTGTTAAAATGCAGATTCTTGGGCTCTTTCCCAGACCCGCTGAACCAGAATTTCAGGAGCAGGTGTGGACTCCAGATTTTCCACAGCTCATAGGGGGCCCCCGTATTTACTACGCTGTGAGAACCGCTGCCCAGGGAGGGCTTGGTGGCCTTTCCTCACTGTATTCTACCTTGGACAGGAGTGAGCTCCGTGGGAGAGTCAACATTTTCACACAATGGTTGAGCTGTAGAGCGAAAATGTACCATATTACTACCTGAGCCTCCCCTGGGAAACCCGGACAGAGGGGGTGGGCCTCACCTCCAGCCATGTTTCTTCTGCCAGGAATGATTCACAAATTTCCATGCTAATTATAGGGATGGCTGAGAGGCTCTAGAAAATTCCTCTTCCATGCTTCTTTGCAGCAGAGGTTGGGATGAGATTGCGATCAACCTGACATCTTCTCTTTGAATTTCCTGCATCAAGGAGACAGGCATCTGATTTCCCAACTGGCTTACTTTGGCTGTGTCGGCACTTCTATAATAAGCTCTGTCCGGTTTCTGAAAATGTGTGGAAGGTTAACATAGTGGGTCTTTGTACTTAGTGGCCAGGAGATGAGATGCAGATCAACACAAGGGAAAGGCAAAGTCTCCTTAGTAAAATGAAACACTGACATTTTTAGTGCTACGCGGAGAGGACTCTTACAGTGCAATGGTAGCCATTTTCCAGGTGTCCAGCTGTCCCTCAGTGGCACATACCCATTACACTGAAGTGGGTGGAGTTTTAGAAACTATTAATATTTTTAAATTGCCTTTTCCTATCATTTAAAATCATCATTTTCTATACCACAGAATCCCTATTCCAAAATTTTGGGAATCCACATAGAGCTTTGTTTACCAGCTTATTTAGGAGCATATGTGTATTTCGTATGGAGTTTTTGTATTACTTAAGAACAAATTATTCAGGATGATAATTTCTGTATTATTTAAGTCATCGCTGTCATGCTGCTTTTAAAACAATACTTCTCAATTTGCCTAATGTCTTGAATTGCTCAACTTTTTGAGCATGGATACTATGCTTGAACTCCTGTCTGTCTGTTTTTTAAAATTACATCTGATTCGCTCAGATAGCACACAATGCAGAAAGTTTGTTTTCAGTTTGGGAACTGCGGAGTCTGGATTGCTTAGATGGCTCCAACAAATTCATCAGTCAAATGTCCCTTTACTGATAGAATATTTGTGGAGTCAGTTTGAATAATCCTGTTAAACATGGATGATTGGAAAACAACGTAAGAGCGTTTTGCTTGCTGCTAGTGCAAACCAAAGAAGAATCACCTGATGTGAAGAATCATCTAGCTTTAAGGCTTATATTCTGGTGTTGATAGCCTCTTGAAGGGCTGTTAAACTAACTCTTTCAAAGGCAAGGTTCATCAAGTTCACTTTGATCCAGTAGAGGGCACTGTATCTCTGTCCTTATGCATACATTTGTCTGTGTATTACATAGTATTATACATGCCCTATATTACAATATATTACTATAACGCCGTATAGCCCATTTGCCTATTTAAAACTCCTTTGGAAATTTACCTTTTATCTTCCTCAAAGGATGAGAGATTGTAATAATCCGAAACGATGAGAGATTATGTGTGATAGCGCACTTACATGTGAATCAAGTATCCATTGTTATATATTTATCCGTCTGTATCAACACACGTGTGGAATAAGCAAAGCAGGGGTTATTTTTTTGAAAAGCAACATTGAAAAAGCAACATTTTTGAAGACTCTGGCTTTTAAGGGGGTATTACTGCATTTTCCCCTCTCTAGGAAGAATATGAATTTCTTGAAAATGACTTTGATAGCTCAAATCCCAGAATCCAGAATTCTGATTTTAAGTTGTTTTCCGTTGTGCCTGCCCCAAGCACCCAGCTGGCGTCGCCCAGGAAGGTCAGCTCGCGGCGTGGGGCTGGAGTTTCAGCGTCCTGGGCTGCGGGCGCCTACCATGAGCCTGGGTGTGTAGTGCCCGGAAACCTGCTCCTGCGCGCGGAGGTCCTGCTTCAGCTCCCCACGAGGTCCGTGGATTTCAAACCGCCCTCTAGAAAGCCTCCTAGTGCGATGTTGCTGTGGGAAAACCCCTTCCCGCCCTGGCTCGGGCTCCTGGCCTCGGTGATTGCTTGCTGTTCCTCCTTCCCAATCCTTCATGTTCAAGTACGCCCGCAGACGAGCAAATCGGAGCAACCCGAGTATTAAACACAGCAAAGCAGTTAGAGTTGAGAAATCCGGCTTTAAACCTAACACAGAGCAATAAGGCTTTGCAATGCAGGGATAATTTGACTACAGTGACTACAGAAGAGGAACATCGTTTCTGTCCAATTAACCTGGAACAGGCATTACTCTCCCCATGATAAACATGATGACTTGTGGAGAATGGGATCTAATTATTGAAGTTTTTGGAAATTCAGCCCAACTGGAAAGTGAATGCGTCCTTCTCTGCCTCTATTAAAAGGGAGCTTGCTTTTTTAATTCTTCTAGAAGAGCTTATTAATTCCTGTTAGAGAATCTGCTGCTGCACTAAGGGCTTTAAACCATGACACTTTTTGAAAGGGTAACAAGATAAAAGGAACGTGTTGGATGTCATCGGTCTCGATATAGTTCTAAAGTTTTGGTAATCAGAGTGCAGTGTTGAAGGCCTGGAAGTAGGGGAGAAGATGGAGGCTGGCCTCCACAAGATTGCAGATAGTCCAGAAAGTCTGCAGAAGAATCATTTTCATGCCTCCTTTCATGTTACCTTTTTTTTAAAAAAAAGCAATTCCCCTTCATTTCTTCTTACTTTATCAGGAAGAAAGGCTCAATTAGCTACTAACACATCTTTAACTGCTAATCTCACTAAATTATTTTAATTATAGAGGCTCTGGGCAAATATGTATTAAATGAATGAATTGGTCACATAGAACTAAATAAATCACACATTTTCCCACCTCTGTGCCTTGCTGAGGCTGTTCTGCTGTCTTGGACATCCTTTCCCCTTGGTTGGGACAAGTTGAATCCTGTTTATCTTTCTGCACTGCACCTATAAGAGGTTTTATAAAAAGAAATGACAAACCCACATTGGCAAAGGTGTGGTGAAAATGGCACCTTGTCTGTCACTGGATGGAATGCACCTGGTTTTACCTTTCTGAAAAACAATCAATGTACCTCATGAATTACTCCTCAGTAAACTTATCATAATAAGGTAAGCAAAGATTTAGGGAGCAGTGTGTTTGTTTAAATGTTATTTTTTTGTGTTGGGTCTTGGCTAGGCTAGACAAGGAGATGAATGGAACTTAACCTAGGTAAGCAAGCCTTGTCTGGGAATCTATTGACATCTGATTAAATGGCAACTGAGACGCTTCTTGGAAGAGAAGTGGGGTTGGAATTAAAGAAAATTACTATGAAAAATTTCAAACACACACAAAAATAGAGTGATAGAATAAACCTTCATATTCTGGTCACCCAGATTTAACAAGTATCACAATTTTGCAATACTTGTTTCTATCCCTTCATTTTTTTTGCTGAAATATTTTAAAGCAAATCCCATTTCTCATGCCAGTTCATCTTTACATACTTCAGTATGCACCTTTTAAAAATATTAACTTTCTTATGTCTGCAATGCCATTATTTGCACCTAACAAAATTAACATTTTCTTTGTATCATTTATTATTTGTTTTTTAATAAAAGTTTAATTTTTATGGGGGTAGTAGTCAGAATTCAAACAAGGTCCCTCCATTACATTTGGCTGTTGGGGATGAAAGGTTTTTTTGTTTTAAATTTTTTTCTTTCCATAGGTTTTTGGGAACAGGTGGTGTTTGGTTACATCAATAAGTTCTTTAGTGGTGATTTCTGAGATTTTCGTGCACCCATCACCCAAGCAGTGTACCCTGTACCCAATATGTACTCTTTTATCCTTCACCACCCCCCACCCTTTCCCCCAATTCCCTAAAGTCCAACGTAGCATTCTTATGCCTTTACGTCCTCACAGCTTAGCGACCACATGTGAGTGAGAACATATGATGTTTGGTTTTCCATTCCTAAGTTACATCACTTAGAATAATAGTCTCCAATTCTATCCAGGTTGCTGCAAATGCCATTATTTCATTCGTATTTCTGGCTGAGTAGTATTCCATGGTACATATATATCACATTTTCTTTATCCACTTGTTGATTGATGAGATTTTTAGGCTGTTTCCATATTTTTTGCAATTGCAAATTGTGCGCTATAAACGTGTATGGAAGTATCTTTTTCACATAATGACTTCTTTTTCTCTTGGTGAATACCTAGTAGTGCGATTGCTGGATCAAATGGTAGATTTACTTTAAATTCTTTTTTTCTTTTTGAGACGGAGTCTCACTCTTGCCCAGGCTGGAGTGCAGTGGTGCAATCTCAGCTCACTGCAACCTCCGCCTCCCAGGTTCAAGCGATTTTCCTGCCTCAGCCTCCTGAGTAGCTGGGACTACAGGCGTGTGCCACCACGCCCAGCTAATTTTTGTATTTTTAGTAGAGACGGGGGTGGGGGGTTCACCATGCTGGCCAGGATGGTCTTGATCTCTTGACCTCATGATCTGCCCACCTCGGACTCCCAAAGTGCTGGGATTACAAGCGTGAGCCACTGCGCTTGGCCTACTATTAATTGTTTAAGGAATCTCTACACTGTTTTCCTAGAGGTTGTGCTAGTTTACATTCCCACCAACAGTGTAAAAGTGTTCCCCTTTCACTGTGTCCATGCCAACATCTATTCTTTCTTGATTTCTTGATTATGGCCATTCTTGCAGGAGTGAGGTGGTATTATATTGTGGTTTTGATTTGCATTTCCCTGATAATTAGTGATGTTGAACATTTTTCCATATGCTTGTTGGCCATTATTTTATCTTCTTTTGAGAATTGTCTATTGATGTCCTTAGCATACTTTTTGATGGGATTGTTTTTTTCTTGCTGATTTGTTTGAGTTCTTTGTAAATTCTGGATGTACTAATATCCAGAGTAAGAGTTCTATCACTCTTACTCTTGTCAGTTTCAGTGGTTATATAATTCCAAGTTTGCATACGGAATTTTAGGTTGACTCAAAAATATTATTCCACTGTGTTCTATCATCCATTAGTCCAACTATTTTTCTTTATAAGTAAACAGCGCTTTTTTTTCTCCAGCTGCTTCTAAGATCTTCTCTTTGTCTTTGATGTGCTGTAGTTTCTTTTTATTTTTTTTTGAGATGGAGTCTCACTCTGTTGCCCAGGCTGGAGTGCAGTGACACGATCTCTGCTCACTGCAAGCTCTGCCTCCTGGGTTCACGCCATTCTCCCGCCTCAGCCTCCCGACTAGCTGGGACTACAGGCACCTGCCACAACACCTGGCTAATTTTTTGTATTTTTAGTAGAGACAGGGTTTCATTGTGTTAGCCAGGATGGTCTCAATCTCCTGACCTCATGATCTGCCTGCCTCGGCCTCCCAAAGTGCTGGGATTACAGGCGTGAGCCACTGTGCCCGGCCCGATGTGCTGTAGTTTCACAACAACGTGCCTAGATATTCATTTCTTTTTATTTATCTAGCTTAAGATTCTTTAATCATTCTAAATATGAAACTTAGTGTCTTTCAACAATTCTGGAAAATTCTCAGTTATAATCTCTGTGAATATTTGTCTAAGTATTATCAATCTTCTATCTCTTCTGGAATTTCAATTGGATGTAAGATAGATCTTATCATTTTATCCTTTGTATCTCTTAATTTCTATTTTTTTTATCTCTTAGTTTTCCTGGAGTGCATTCTGGAAGTGGCTTCTTGGATCACTTCCAGTTCAGTAGCTCTATTTTCAGCTGTGTCTATACTTTTGTTTCAGTCATCCTTGAGTTTTATATTTCTAGTCATTCTACTGCATTATTTTTCAAATCTTTGGTTGTAATTAAGATTTTATATTTCTTGCTTATGTTTTAAGACTCAGTTTTATTTCTTGTTACATATTAAACATACAAATTTTATGCTCAGAAGCATTTGCGATCTGAGTTTGATGTCTGTTTTTTTTCTGCTGGCTCTCACTCATGGTGCTTATTCTCCATGTATGTTTCTGATGAATGATGTTGAACACAAATTAATGTCTTTGAAATTTTATTTTTGGAAATGCTTTGAGATCTGCCTTGAAATTACAGTCTTTCATAGAGGATTTTCATTTCTTTCTGCTAGTTCTCTGGGGCACTCGTTATCCTAGACTGTAGTAAATTAAATAATCCACTTGACAGTTTTTTGGATTGCACAGGTAATGTGAACCTGGGACCCAAACCTATATGAGGAAGAACTTCTTACAAATTCTCAAGGTAATTTGTTTTGCCTTCTACCAAGTATAAGAAGTATAAGAGTCAAGAGAAGAAAGTTTCCAGCTGAGAGTTTATCTCTCGTTCACCCTTATAGTGAACCTCTAGGCCTTTGAGGGTTCCAGCTTTATGTGGGGGATTTTCTATTTGATTCCTACTTTGGTTGGGCCCTGGATTTTACCTGTGGTCCATGTAGCTCTAAAAAAAGAGTTATAAGATCACTAGAGTTTGAAGGTCACTAGAGTTTTTTTACAGCAAAAATCAGTTTGGGTGCTCTTTTAATCTATGGCTCTCACCTTCTTAGTTTGTCTTTGGAGTCCCTTACTTTTTTGTCTAGCTTAGCAATAAACTTAATATGATGTTTCTTATATTGTATGGTGCTTTTATATTATTTACCTTTATATGGCCTTATTATAAAACATTTGGCAGTATCCATCAAAACAAAAATCTATATGTTCTTTGAATCAGCAATTCTACTTCTAGAAATTTCTTTGGCAGAAGTACACACATGTAAAAATGTATGCATTTTTTTGTTCACTGCTGCATTATTTATAATAATGAAAAACTATGAGTGTTCATTAATGACCACGCCATGCTATGAAGTAATGGTGAGTAGTCATTAAAAAGAATGAGTAGACATATGTACCAGCATAGGATGATCTCCCAATTTATTGTTAGGTAGGAAAAAACAAAGAAGAATGCTGCTTAGCTCTTCAGAACACCTTCTTATTATTTTTATATTTTATTTTTGGTGTCTCAAAAAATTCTTAGCAGATGTGGTCATTACAGCATTATATGCAAAAATAATGAAATATAATAAAAATGTGCTCTGCTAAATGTCTTTCATCTCTTGATTTCAAAGAGCATATGTTATCATAACATCAAGCCATTAATAGACTAAGCATTTGTTATATGCATAAAAGATAAGATTATTTAAAAATTTCAAGATAGGATATTAACTTTATAAAAAAAGCTTTTGAAGTAAAACCAATCTAATTTTTAAGGATTTTTTGGAGAGGTAGATAATTCATCCATTATTATATTTTCCCTTCTAATACCCAGAGACAATTTATCTTTTATAGAAGACTATCATTCTGTCTAGCATAATGAATGATTTTTTTCCCTTAATTTTTAATTTAAGTTCCGGGGTACATGTGTAATATGTGCAGGTTAGCTACATAGGTAAACATGTACCATGGTGCTGTGCTGCACAGATCAACACGTCACCTGAGTATTAAGCCCAGCATTCATTAGCAATTTTTCCAGATCTTCTCCTTCCCCTGACCCAGCCCACCAACAGGCCCCAGTGTGTGTTGTTCCCTGCCGTGTGTCCATGTGTTCTCATCAATCAGTTCCCACTTATAAATAAGAACATGCGGTGTTTGGTTTTCTGTTCCTGTGTTAGTTTGCTGAGGATAACGGCTTCCAGCTCCATCCATGTCCTTGCAAAGGACATGATCTCATTCCTTTTATGGCTGCACAATATTCCATTGCATATATGTACCACATTTTCTTTATCCAGTCTATCATCTATGGGCATTTATGAATGATTTTAAGTCAGTAGAATGTAATTATTTCTTATAATAGACATTTTAAGATCATTGATTCCATGAAGCACTGGTGCCACATTTTACCTACTAGGTGCAAATGATGTTTGAGTTAGGCAAATGACATTGTGAGAGGAGATAAGCAATCTTGTTCTTCAGGCAATTGTCATATAACTAAAGTAAATCATTACACAGTGCATAGGAAATTTTATGAAACAATCTGATTTTTTTAAAAAAGGAAAGAAATGGAAAAATAATCTTGATTAATAATTCTTAAATATATTAAACTGAATATTTTAACTACCCTGCGCTTTTGAAAACAAGAAAGAAAAAATAATCACTAAATTTCTACTATGATGGGAGAGAAGGCATAGAAGGTTTTCGGAATGAATATAAATTTGAATATAAATTTGGGAATGAATATAAATTTCCAACAAAAGCCATATTTTAAATATCTTCCTCAGTATGCTGTGTGACACACCTATTATAGCCTGCAAAGAGTAGACTGTCTTAGAAAGCCAAGTTTGTGTCTGAGTAGTACTCAGTCCTCAAGAGTGATGAGAAGGCTGTCAGAAAGAGTTAAAAAAAACCTTTCAGCCTAATAAATAGAATGTGATTTTGAGAGAATAAGCTCAAAAATCTATGACATCTTCATGAGTAAATTGTATAGAATAACAGTGACAGCACATATGTAAGGAGGATAATAATGATGCAGTCCACAATCAAAGTTTATCTATTTATAGCTTCTTGAGTCTTTTGCTTTTGAAACCTTTTGTCTTATCTCCTCCTTCCTTTTCTTTTTCTTTTTTTTATCATTATGCTTTAAGTTCTAGGGTACATGTGCACAATGTGCAGGTTTGTTACATAGCTATACATGTGCCATGGGTTAAGTTGTGAAAATGTCTAGCATTAGATATTGCAGTAACAACTAGGCGATCAGCTATTTGATTCCCTGCAGTCAAGGTCCTGGAAGAGATGTATGAGCCCTAATATGAGTAATGTAAAAAGGGTGCATTCTACTCCTAACTGCTGTTTGCAATTGGGTAAATAAATAAATAAAGTCATCAGTTATTCATCTGTATGAAATCATAACTGAGCATTTTCAACTAACTGTGTAGAATGAACCACATATGAAGAATCAGAAATCACATTAATAGGCATATTAAAAGCAGTCAATATATCAATTACAGCTACAAGCTCCACTTTTTGAGCTGAAGTATAGGGCATCTGAAAAACTTTACCTATCGAGCCAGAATAAGAAGGTTTACCATTACTAGACCCATCGGTACAAACATTCTCAGCACCTTCAATTGGTTTAAATTTAGTTATTTTAGGGAGAATCCAATTAGTTAATTTCAAAAATTGAAACAGTTTTGTTTTAGGAAAATGATTATCGAGAATATCCACAAAGTCAGCTAAATCAGTTTGCCAAGTAAGACTATTTATAAAAGCTCGCTGTATTTGTGCCTTCATGAAAGGGACAATAATTTTTCCTGGATCATATCCATGCAATTTAACAATCCGTGTCCTCCCATTTCCTATCATAGTAGCAATTTGATCCAAATAAGGAGTTAGAGCCCATGAATAAGTATGTGGAAGAGAAAGCCACTCTACAAGATCTTGCTCTTGAACAATAACACCAGTAGGTGAATGATGAGTTGAAAAAATTAGCAAATCTCAAGTCTTCTCTGGATCTATTCTACTTATTTTAGCTTTATGGGCTTGCTTTTTGACAGCTGCAGCTCTGCCTCAGCTTCTTTTGTTAATTGCTGAGGGCTAGTGAGACTAGGATCTCTTTAAGGATAGAAAATAGATTACTCATGGCATAGGTAGGAATTCCTAGAGTAGGTCATATCCAATTAATGTCCCCTAGTAATTTTTGAAAGTCATTTAATGTCTTCAATTGACCCCTACATATGGCTACTTTCTGTGGCACAATGGTAGTGTCATTTACTAAGGTCCCCAAGTAGGAGTAAGGAGTAGTAGTTTGAATTTTGTCAGGAGCTATAATTAAACCAATGTGAGAAATCAAATTTTATAAGTGATCATAACATTGGAGTAATATTTCTCAAGTGGGGGCAGCACAAAGTATATCATCCATATAATGAATAATGTAGCACTGTGAAAATTTTTTAAGAGTAGGTTCAATTGTTTGCCCTACATAAGTCTGGCAAATTGTTGGACTATTTAATATGCCTTGTGGCAACACTTTCCAGTGAAAATGCTTAGCAGGCTGCAGGTTGTTTACTGCAGTAATTGTAAATGCAAACCATCCATAGTCTTGCTCAGCTAAAGGGATAGGAAAGAAACATTCTTTTAAATCTATGACTATTAAAGGCCATTTTTTTGGAATCATAGCAGGAGAAGGCAGTCCTGGCTGCAATGTCCCCATAGGTTGTATAACTGAATTAATGACTCTAAGATCTGTCAACATTCTCCATTTACCTGATTTTTTCTTAATAACAAAGACTGGAGAATTCCAGGGGGAAAATGTTGGGGTTATGTGTCTTTTTTCTAGTTGTTCGGTAACTAAGTCCTCTAAAGCCTCCAGTTTCTCTTTACTCAGTGGCCATTGTTCTATCCAAATTGGCTTATTCTTTTAACCATTGTAAAGCTATAGGTTCTGGAGGCTTAACAACGGCCACAATCAAAAATGATATCCTAAACCTTGGCGGGAACTTTGTCTTTCCACTTGAAGTGGTTCCTTCAAATCTTGCAAATTTTTTCCTAGTCCCATACCAGGGACAGACCCCATTTCATGCATCATATGTTGACTTTGAGGGTTATTTAATTGCTCTGGAATTAGAACTTGTGCTTTCCACTGTTATAATAAATATCTTCCCCATAAATTTATAGGCACAGAAGTTATAATTGGTTGAATAGTCCCAGGTTGTCACAATGCAAAATATAACTACTTTGATATACTTCAGGGGCTTTACCAACTCCAACTATGTTAAATTGAGTATGTTGAATTGGCCATGTGGACAGCCAGTGCTGTAGAGAAATGATTGAAATGTCCACTCCTGTATCTACCAAATCTTTAAATTTCTTTCCCTGAATAGTTATTTCACAGGTAGGACATTTATCAGTAATTTGATTCACCCAGTAAGCTGCTTTGCCTTGCTTATTTGTGCTTTCAAATTCACCTGTTCGTTTAATTTCACTTTTCCACATTTCCATGAATGGCACAATCAGGAGCTGTGCTATACGCTCTCCTGGCTCTGCTTTCCAGGGAACATAAGTATATATAACAATTTGAATGTCCCTATTATAATCTGAATCAATGACTCCTGTTTGTACTTGTACTCCTTTCAAATTTAAACTAGACCTACCTAGAAGTAATCCTATCATTCTTGCTGGCAATATCTGACTGGAGACAGCAACATTCTTTAACAGTCCCATTAAAAAAGGAGAAATTGGTCCATATTGATTAATAGCTTGCTTAAATTCTTTGAGTAATTTAAAAGGAAAAGGCTCATATGTAGCTATAATATTTCTCTGTTGATCTGGGGGGTGTATCCTAACAGGGAACTCCCAAGAATCCATATCACCCTCTCATCTAGCTTGCTGGATTCCTGCCTTAATAGAACTGAGAGCAGTAGCTCAATGCGCTGCTTGAACAGTCACTGGGGCAACTACTTTTTGCCCAGTGTTCTCTGGAAAAGAAAGATCTGGAGAGTCAGGCCACTCTTTTTCTTCAAAATAATGAGGGGGTGCAGAAGGGTAGGGATGAACCTCTTCCTCCTTTGCTGCTTTAGCTTTAGCTGGCCAACAAACCTGCTCTGCCACCTCTTCTGTTACTGTGTTATACTTTCCTTCTTACTCATCATCGGTGTGAAAAGGTTCCAAGGTGGAATGAACCAGAGCCCACACTTGTCCCATTGTTACCCTGATTCTTCCAAGCTCCCCTTCTTACTCACCATGGGGATTGCTTAAGAGTACTCAGGTGTCCTCCAGCTTAGTTCCATGTTCTCTAACCATCGCTCCAGTGACCCTTTAACCTGGGTTTGAGCCCCACGTTCAGTGCCACTTGCCAAGACCAGCTTGGTTGTGGAGACCCTAACCCAGCGGCGCTAGAGGACCCACACACAGAAATATAGCATGTGGAGTAGGAAATCAGGGGACTCACAGCCTTCAGAGCTGAAAGCCATGAACCGAGTTTTACCCACATATTTATTGACAGCAAGCCAGTGATAAGCATTATTTCTATAGATTACAGATTAACTAAAACGGGAAACAAAGGGATGGGCCGAAACAAAGGGATGTGCTCTGGCTAGTTATCTGCAGCAGGAACATGTCCTTGAGGCACAGATCGCTCATGCTATTGTTTGTGGCTTAGGAATGCCTTAAGCGGTTATCTGCCCTGGGTGGGCCAGGTGTTCCTTGCCCTCATTCTGGTAAACCCACAACCTTTAGTGTGGGCATCATGGCCATCATGAACATGTGACAGTGTTGCAGAGATTTTGTTTATGGCCAGTTTTGGGGCCAGTTATGGCCATATTTGGGGGCCTGTTCCCAACAAGTGAGGATTCCCTCTTTTTCTTTTCTTTTTTTTTTTTTTTTTTTTTTTTTTATTTATTTTTTTTTTTTTTGAGACGGAGTCTCGCTCTGTCGCCCAGGCTGGAGTGCAGTGGCGGGATCTCGGCTCACTGCAAGCTCCGCCTCCCGGGTTCACGCCATTCTCCTGCCTCAGCCTCCCAAGTAGCTGGGACTACAGGCGCCCGCCACTACGCCCGGCTAATTTTTTGTATTTTTAGTAGAGACGGGGTTTCACCGTTTTAGCCAGGATGGTCTCGATCTCCTGACCTCGTGATCCGCCCGCCTCGGCCTCCCAAAGTGCTGGGATTACAGGCGTGAGCCACCGCGCCCGGCCCCTCTTTTTCTATTGATTGGAATAGTTTCAGAAGGAAGGGTACCAGCTCCTCTTTGTACCTCTGGTAGAATTTGGCCATGAATCCCTCTGGTTCTGGACTTTTTTTTGTTGCTAGGCTATTAAGTATTGTCTCACTTTCAGAACCTGTTATTGGTCTATTCAGAGATTCAACTTCTTCCTGGTTTAGTCTTGGGAGAGTGTATGTGTCCAGGAATTTATCCATTTCTTCTAGATTTTCTAGTTTATTTGCATAGAGGTGTTTATAGTATTCTCTGGTGGTAGTTTGTATTTCTGTGGGATCGGTGGTGATATCCCTTTTATCATTTTTATTGCATCTATTTGATTATTCTCTATTTTCTTCTTTATTAGTCTTGCTAGCTGTCTATTTTGTTCATCATTTCAAAAAATAACCTCCTGGACTCTTTAATTTTTTGAAAGGTTTTTCATGTCTCTATTTCCTTCAGTTCTGCTCTAATCTTAGTTATTTCTTGTCTTCTGCTAGCTTTTGAATTTGTTTGCTCTTCTCTAGTTCTTTTTTTTTTTTTTTTTTTTTTTTTGAGATGCAGTCTTGCTCTGTCACCTAGGCTGGAGTGCAGTGGCACTATCTCGGCTCACTGCAAGCTTGGTCTCCCAGGTTCACACCATTCTCCTGCCTCAGCCTCCCGAGTAGCTGGGACTACAGGTGTCCACCACCACATCTGGCTAATTTTTTGTATTTTTTTAATAGAGATGGGGTTTCTCCTTGGTAGTCAGAATGGTTTCGATCTCCTGACCTCATGATCTGCCCGCCTTGGCCTCCCAAAGTGCTGGGATTAGAGGCATGAGCCACCATGCCTGGCCCTCTAGTTCTTTCAGTTGTGTTGTTAGGGTGTCGATTTTAGATCTTTCCTGCTTTCTCTTGTGGGCATTTAGTGCTATAAATTTCCCTCTACATACTGCTTTAAATGTGTCCTGGAGATTCTGGTATATTGTGTCTCTGTTCTCCTTGTTTCAAAGAACACCTTTATTTCTGCCTTCATTTCATCATGTACCCAGTAGTCATTGAGGAGCAGGTTGTTCAGTTTCCCTGTAGTTTTGTGGTTTTGAGTAAGTTTCTTAATATTCAGTTCTAATTTGATTGCACCGTGGTCTGAGAGACAGTTTGATTTGATTTCTATTCTTTTACACTTGCTGAGGAGTGTTTTACTTCCAATAATGTGGTCAATTTTAGAATAAGTGTGACGTGATGCTGAGAAGAATGTATATTCTGTTGATTTGGGGTGGAGAGTTCTGTAAATGTCTATTAGGTCCACTTGGTCCAGAGCTGAGTTCAAGTCCTGAATATCCTTGTTAATTTTCTGTCTCATTGATCTGTCTAATATTGACTGTGGGGTGTTAAAGCTTCCCATTATTATTGTGTGGGAGTCTAAGTCTCTTTGTAGGTCTCTAAGAACTTGCTGTATAAATCTGGGTGCTCCTGTATTGGATGCATATATATTTAGGATAGTTAGCTCTTCTTGTTGAATTGATCCCTTTACCATTATGTAATGGCCTTCTTTGTCTCTTTTGATCTTTGTTGGTTTAAAGTCTGTTTTATTAGAGACCAGGATTGCAACCCCTGCCTTTTTTTGCTTTCCATTTGCTTGGTAGTTCTTTCTCCATCCCTTTATTTTGAGACTATGTGTGTCTTTGCACATGAGATGGGTCTCCTGTATACAGCACCCTGATGGGTCTTGACTCTTTATCCAATTTGCCTGTGTCATTTAATTAGGGCATTTAGCCCATTTACATTTAAGGTTAATATTGTTATGTGTGAATTTGATCCTGTCATTTGTGATGCTAGCTAGTTATTTTGCCCATTAATTGATGCAGTTTCTTCATAGTGTCAATGGTCTCCACAATTTGGTATGTTTTTGCAATGGCTGGTACCAGTTATTCCTTTCCATGTTTAGTGCTTTGTTCAGGAGCTCTTGTAAGGCAGGCCTGGTGGTGACTAAATCTCTCAGCATTTGCTTGCCTGTAAAGGATTTTATTTCTCCTTCACTTATGAAGCTTAGTTTGGCTGGATATGAAATTCTCGGCTGAAAATTCTTTTCTTTAATAATGTGGAATATTGGCCCCCACTCTCTTCTGACTTGTAGGGTTTCTGCAGAGAGATCTGCTGTTACTCTGATGGGCTTCTTTTCGTGGGTAACCGGACTTTTCTGTCTGCCCTTAACATATTTTCCTTCATTTCAACCTTGGTGAATCTGACAGTTATGTGTCTTGGAGTTGCTCTTCTTGAGGAGTATCTTTGTGGTGTTCTTTGTATTTCCTGAATTTGAATTTTGGCCTGTCTTGCTAGGTTGGGGAAGTTCTCCTGGATAATATCCTGAAGAGTTTTTTCTAACTTGGTTCCATTCTCCCCGTCACTTTCAGGTACACCAATCAAAATGTAGATTTGGTCTTTTCACATAGTCCCATATTTCTTGGAAGCTTTGTTCATTTATTTTCACCCTTTTTTCTCTAATCTTGTCTTCTCACTTTATTTTATTAATTTGATCTTCAATCACTGATATCCTTTCTTCTGCTTGATCTAATCTGCTATTGAAGCTTGTGTATGCTTCATGAAGTTTTCGAACTGTGGTTTTCAGCTCTATCAAGTGTTTTAAGCTCATCTCTACACTGGTTATTCTAGTTATCCATTCATCTAACCTTTTTTCAAGGTTTTTAGCTTCCTTGTGATGGGTTAGAACATGCTCCTTTAGCTCAGAGAAGTTTGTTATTACCCAACTTCTGAAGCCTACTTCTGTCAATTCATCAAACTCATTCTCCCTCCAGTTTTGTTCAATTGCTGACGAGGGGTTGCATTCCTTTGGAGGAGAAGAAACATTCTGGTTTTTGGAATTTTCAGCCTTTCTGCTCTGGTTTCTTCCCAACTTTGTGGTTTTGTCTACCTTTGGCCTTTGATGTTGGTGGCCTATGGATGGGGTTTTGGTGTGGCTATCCTGTTTGTTGATGTTGATGATATTCCTTTCTGTTTGTTAGTTCTCCTTCTAACAGGCAGGCACCTCAGCTACAGATCTGTTGGAGTTTGCTGGAGGTCCACTCCAGACACTGTTTGTCTGGGTATCACTAGCGGAGGCAGCAGAACAGCAAATATTGCTGCCTGATCCTTCCTCTGTAAGCTTCATCCCAGAGGGGCACCAGCCTGTATGAGGTGTCTGTTGGCCCCTACTGGGAAGTGTCTCCCAATCAGGGTACACGGGGGTCAGGGACCCACTTGAGGAGGCAGTCTGTCTGTTTTCAGAGCTTGAACACTGTGCTGGGAGAACCACTGCTCTCTTCAGAGCTGTCAGGCAGGGATATTTAAGTCTGAAGAAGCTGTCTGCTGCCATTTGTTCAGATATGCCCTGCCCCCAGAGTTGGAATCTAGAGAGGCAGTAGGCCTTGCTGAGCTGTGGTGGGCTCCACCCAGTTCGAGCTTCCCTGCCACTTTGTTTACACTGTGAGCTTAGAACCGCCTACTCCCACCTCAGCAATGGCAGACGCCCCTCTCCCTGCCAAGCTCCAGCATCCCAGGGTGATCTCAGACTGCTGCACTAGCAGTGAGCAAGGCTCTGTTGGTGTGGGACCTGCTGAGCCAGGCACAGGAGGGAATCTCCTGGTCTGCTGGTTGTGAAGACTGTAGGAAAAGCACAGTATTTTGGCAGAAGTGTACTGTTCCTCCAGGTACAGTCATTCATGGCTTTCCTTGGCTAGGAAAAGTAAATCCCCCGACCCCTTGCACTTCCTGGGTGAGGAGATGCCCCACCCTACTTCAGCTCACCCTCTGTGGGCTGCAACCATTGTCCAACCAGTCCCAATGAGATGAACGAGTTACCTCAGTTGGAAATGCAGAAATCTCCCGTCTTCTGCATTGATCTCGCTGGGAGCTGTAGACCGGAGGTGTTCCTATTTGGCCATCTTGGAAGCGACTTCCTCCTTCCTTTTCTGAGTTTCAAAACTGTTTATATAGGTTGGGAATTTTATTTTCTAAAAGTCTGAGTAACTTATTTGTAAAACATTTCAAACCTGGAGGCTTTGGGGTAGATACTTCTCTTTCTCCTATTTTTCCAAAGTTACTAATCCATGCCAGTTGCAACAACTAGTTCTTCTCCTCCTCGTCCTCCTCCTCCTCCTCCTCCTCCTTCTTCTTCTGAGATGTATTCTCACTCTGTCACTCAGGCTGGAGTCTCAGCTCACTTCAACCTCTGCTCCTGGGTTCAAACAATTCTGCCCCAGCCTCCAGTGTAGCTGGGACTACAGGCATGTGACACCACTCCTGGATACTTTTTTGTATTTTTACTAGAGACAGGGTTTCACCATGTTAGCCAGGATGGTCTCAATCTCCTGACCTCGTGATCTGCCTGCCTCAGCCTTCCAAAGTGCTGGGATAGCAAGCATGACCACTGCATCAAGCTGCAACTTCTTCACAAGCAATTTTGGCAGCGTCTACATTTGCATAAAATGGTCTATTTTATTGTGATCTTAATATTTTAAACAGAATTGTACATTGTGTTCTATTATAATTTTTATTCTCTTTGTACCTGTGCTGTGCATTTACTTGTTCATGATTTGAGTTTCTTAATGGTATGACAGCATTTTTATTTAAATGTAAATAAGGGATAGGATATAAATATGGAAAGACAGAAACACAATAACAGCAGGTGTCTCGGGGTTGTTGGATTATAACTGATTTCTTCTTTGTTAATATTTTCAATGACTTGGAATGCATTAATTTTTAATTGGGGAAAATATAATCTTTAACTTAAGCAATATATCCTGGCTACCAAATTTTGTTTTCCAATGGTACTTGAGTTGCTTGTTGTTTTTTTCTCCCAATTAAAGGTCACAATCATGGGGAAATGGTACCATCAGTCACTGCTGTGGAAGTTTAAATTAACACAAATTTCTGGAGCCCAACTTGGCAATAAGTAAAAAAATGCAATATTTGTATATTCCTTGTCCAGAAATTGCACTTTTTGGAATTTTTTAAGTGAAATAGTGAAATCGAGGAGTAATCATAAAACGTCTACATATGGGTGTTTAGAGCTGCTGTTTTAATGATACCTGGGATTTGTTTTAATCAGGTATGAAAAACATGCAGACATGAACATGCTTGCTATGAAGGAAGAAGTTTTTATTATGGTCAGAGTGCTCTAGAAACAGGAGGCATCATAAGTTATGCAGGCCACTTGAGGAAGCACTGAGGTAGTGTGAGCTGGTGGGGGTGAGTGAGCAGTGCTGGTGGGACTCTTTATTGTGGTTTTCATGGGAAGAGTTGGGGAAGACAAGGTAAGCAGGCTGAGCAGGATTATGGTGGAATAGCTTAAATAATTTCCCTGGGCTCTAGGCTGCAGGGGCTGTTTCTAGTTGTCAGGGACCTGGTTCTAGAGTGATTAGGGCATAGGGATTAGTGACCCAAGCATGAGAGCCACAAAAGAAGGAAGTGGGGGTATGAGCTCTTAACTGGTTTGCTTGCATCTAATACATATGCTCACAGGCAAGTCCTTTGCTTTCTCTAGGAATTAGCTAGTCTCCAGGGTCATCAAGGTCTCAGATGTCAAAACATCAAGAATGCAGAAAGTTTTATAAACTATAATCACCCTACTATGCTATCAAACTCCAGGACTTACTGGTTCTATCTGACTGTAGTTTCCTGCCCATTAACGATCCTCTCTTCATCCTCCTTTTCCCCCTACCCTTTCCAGCCTCTGGAAACCATCATTCTTCTATCCCCAAATATGTACAATTATTGTGTATTGAAAAAGAATACAGAAAATAAGAAAACAGCATTAATATAGCTACACTATCTAATCTGGCAGTCATTAGTCATATAACACTGTTGAGTATAATCAATCATCAACTTACAATGGTTCAACTCAGTGGTTTTTTGACTTTATGGTGGTGTAAAAGTGATGCACCTTCAGTAGAAACTACTTCAAGTACGCATACAACAATTCTGTTTTTTACTTTCAGTACAGTATTCAATAAATTACATTAAGAAAATAAGCAAAAAAGAAAAAACCCACAGTTCAATAAAAAACACAAAATAAGATAACAGGAAATAAGTTAAAACTAGGCAGTAATTACAAAAATGTGGAACTAAAAGATAAAAGATTTATTAAAGCCAGATAGTCTTAGATTAGGTTAAGAAAAAAAAGCCCACTAAATCCAGCTACATGCTGTTTACAAAATACACATACATAAAACTTAATAAAAAACTTTGATAAATAAAGGATAAAAACTATTTCAGATAAATGCTAATCATAAGAAAGCCGGTTCAGAAATATTACCAGACAAAATGGATTTCAGGGCAAAAAGCATTATTTGAGATAAAGATGGCCATTATTCAAAAGAAAGGAATAATTCACTCACAAATAATGGAAAAACATATGAAAGATTTTAATTACATTTACAGAATACTGTATCCAACATTTAGGGAATTAACGTTATTTTTAGGCACACAGGAAATATTTACAATAAAACTGGGTATTTAATAAGCTGTAAAGCAAGTTTCAAAATATGCCAAGAAATTGATATCATACAGATATCTGTTGATAACATTTTGTCATATCAATGTAATAAACTTAGAAATCAGTAAAAGAAAGATATCATCCTTTATATTTAGACAATCAAAGCCACTCTTCTAATATATTTGAGTCAATAGAAGTCACAATGAAAACTAGAAAATCTTTAGAAATGAATGGCAACATAATATCTACATATCAAAATTTTAAGGTTATAGATAAAGTAGTATATTTAGAAAAGAAATCATATCCTTAAATGTACATAGTTTAAAAGAGAAAGAATAAGAAAATGCACAAGTATACACTCAAAAAATTGAGAAAAGACAAGAGTTAATCTAAAGAATAAAATGATAAGGATAAGAACAGAAATTAAAGAAATAGAAAATAGTCCCTAGAGAAGAAAAACTCTACTGGAAACTATTTCTGTGAAAGAAAAAAAAAAAACCCTTAATAAAAGAGAGAAAACTTTCAGGTTAGTGAAGTCACCAAAAATGACATTAGAAATAAAAAAGGCGCTTTAAGGGTATAGAACTATATACACTGATAAAAAAAAAAAAAAAATCACAGGATTTTTGCCAAGAAATCTGAAAGCTTAGTAAAAACAAACAATTTCCTGGAAACATGTAACTCCTCAAAACAGATTTAAGGAGGCACAGAAAATCTAGATAGTTCAATTATTTTTAAAAATGGAATAGATAGTAAAAAAAGGTTCCCCCGAAACAGCGGCTCAAACTATTTGATTAATTATTTCCATCCAATATTAAGGAACTACAATTCTTATATAATGTGTTCTAGAGAATAAAATAGAAGGTAAGCTCTTCATTCCTTTTATGAGGGTGGTATTAACTCGTTACAAAAATTGGTCAAGGGCCCTGCTAATAAGGAAAATTATACACAGTTATCTCTTTCCTCCTCAAGATAGAAAGAAAAATCCTAAATAAAATAATGGCACTCGAAATCAAGGAATGGATGAATGATCTAACATAATACAATAATCTAACATAATATATCATAGTAATACATTTTGAAATAATACATCTATTAATGTAATTTACCTGATAAGCAGATTAAATAAGTAATTATATGATCATCTCAAAAGGTCTAGAAAAAACACTTATTAAAATTCAACAGCCATGCAAGATAAAACATTTAATAAAGTAGAAAATAAAGGAATTTCCTTAGGATGATACAAGTAATGAGACTGAACCCTGATTACCAAAACCAAAGACAGTTAAAAAAAAAAAAGAAAACTGTAGGCCAGTATCACTAATGAATATTGATGCAAAAATCCTCAACAAAGTACTAGCAAAGCTAATTTAACAATATACTAAAAAGAGCATTTATTATGACCAAGAGGGATTTATCCCTGGGATGCAAGGATGGTTCTACACATGCAAATCAATCAGTGTGATACATTATATCAACAGAATGAAGGAAAAAACCACATGAGAATTATCGATGCTGAGAAAGCATTTGATAAAACTTAATATTCCTTCATGATAAAAACTTCCTCCAAAAACTGGCTTTAAAAGGAACATACCTCAACATAATAAAAGCTGTAGATGACAAGGCCCATAGCTAGTCTCATACTGAATGGGGAAAAGCTGAAAGCCTTTTCATCAACATCTGGAACATGTCAAAGATGCCTACTTCCTCCACTGTTCTTCAACATGGTCCTAGCTAGGAAGTCCTAGCTAGAGCAATCAGACAAGAGAAATAAATAAAGGGCATTCAAGCTGGAAAGAACGTTATCAAGTTATCCTTGCTTGCAGATGATATGATCTTGTATTAAAAACCTAAAGACTCCACCAAAAAACTATTAGAACTGATCAACAAATTCAGTAAAGTTGCAGGATACAAAATCAATATACAAAATTCAGTAGCATTTCTATTAATATATGCCAACAGTGAACAATCTGAAAAAGAAATAAAAAAGTAATCCCCTTTATAATAGCCACACATAACATTAAATACCTAGGAATTAACTTAAGTAAATAAGTGAAAGATTTCTCCAGTGAAAAATATAAAACACTAATGAAAGAAATTGAAGAGGACACAAAAATTGGAAAGATATTCCATGTTTGTGGGTTGGAAGAATCAATATTGTTAAAATCTCCATATGGCCAAAGCAATCTACATATTCAATGCAATTCCTATCAGAATACCAATGACATTTTTCACAGAAATAGAAAAAACTATCCCAAAATTTATATGGAACTACACAAGACTGAGAATAGCCAAAGCTATCCTAAGCAAAAAGAAAAAACTGAAGGAATCACATTATCTGACTTCAAATTATACTAGAGAGCTATAGTAACCAAAAAAGCATGGTTCCAGCATAAAAACAGACACACAGACCAATGGAACAGAAGAGAGAACTCAGAAACAAATTCACTACCTACAGTGAACTCATTTTCGACAAAGGTGCCATGAACTTACTCTGGGGAAAAGACAGTGTCTCTTTAATAAATGATGCTGGGAAAACTGGACATCTAGAAGCAAAAGAATGAAAGTAGACCCCTATCTCTTGCCATATACAAAAGTAAAATCAAAATGTATTAAAGACTTAAATCTAAGAGCTCAAACTATGAAACTACTACAAGAAAACATTGGAGAAATCTCCAAGCCATTAGCCTAGGCAAAGATTTCTTGAGTAATACCCCAGAGGCACAGGCAGTAGAAGCAAAAACAGACAAATGAGATCACATCAAGTTAAAAATCTTCTGCACAGCAAAGGATGCAATCAACAAAGTCAGGAGACAACCCACAGAATGGGAGAAAATATTTTCAAACTACTCATTTGTCAAGGGATTAATAATCAGAATAAATAAACTCAAACAACTCTATGGGAAAAGTTCAATAATCCAATTAAAAAGTGGGCAAAGGATTTGAATAGATATTTCCCAAAAAAAGACATACAAATGGCTAAAAGACCTATGAAAAGGTGCTCAACATCATTGATCAGCAGCTAAATGGAAATCCAAACTACAATGAGTTGTCATCTCACCCCAGTTAACATGGCTTATACACAAAAGACAGGCAATAACAAATGCTGGTGAGGATGTAGAGAAAAGGAAATCCTCATACACTGTTAGTGGAAAGGTAAATTAGCACAATCACTATGGAGAACAGTTTAGAGTTTCCTCAAGACACTAAAAATAGAGTTATACAGTCCAGCAATTTCACTCCTAGGTATATACTCAAAAGAAAGAAAATCAGTGTACTGAAGAGATATACTGCACACTCATGTTTGTTGTAGCACTGTTCACAATAGCCAAGATTTTGAAGTAACCTAAGTGTCCATCAACAGACGAATGGATAGAGAAAATGTGGTACTTATACACAATGAAGTACTATTCAGCCATAAAAAGAATGAGATTCAGTCACTTGGAACAGCATGGATGGAACTGGAGATCGTTATGTTAAGTGAAATAAGCCAGGCACAAAAAGACAAACATGGCAGGTTCTCTCTTATTTGGGGGATCTAAAAATCAAAACAATTGAACCCATGGCTATAGAGAGTAGAAGAATGATTTCCAGAAGCTAGGAAGGGTAGTTGGGGGTTAGGGGGAGGTGGGGTTGGTTAATGGGTACAAAAAATAGAATGAATGAATAAGCCCTAGTGTTTGATAGTGTAACAGGGTGACCGTAGTCAATAATAATTTAATTGTACATTTAAAAATAACTAAAATAATATAATTCAATTGTTTGTAACAGAAAGGATAAATGCTTAAGGGGATGAATATCCCATTTTCCATGATGTGATTATTATGCATTGCATACCTGTATCAAAACATCTCATGTACTCCATAAATATATACACCTAATATGTACTCACAAAAATTAAAAATGAAAAAAAATTTTAAAAATAAAAATAATATAAAACAGTAAAGGGCCAAAACCAGTAGAAAATAAATTTGAAAAGCAGTAGCTGCAGTGATCAAAGTGAAAGCAGAAATAGCGTCAACTGAAGAAGAAGGGAGGTATAAGAGAAAAATACAGCTGTAATAATTAACATGTACAGTTATGGGAGGGCATAGCAGAGGAATAGACAACGAGGCAGAATAAAGAATCTAGAAACTGGCTCACAAATATCTGGGAACTTCATAAATGATAAAGATGGTATTTCACATCATTAGGGGAATGATAGATTATTTAATACAGCTATAAATAGTTACTTATGTGGAAAAAGATGCAATTAGATTCCTACCTCTTCCTACACACAAAAACAAATTCTTGGTGGGTTAAAGACTTATCCTGAGAAACAAACTGTAAGCCTTTTAGAAATAAACCCAAGATGTCTGTTATTTTTAGTTCTTTTCTATATGTTTAAAATATTTTATAGTTAAACTGTTATTTTAGAAAAAAGTAAATGAACCAGAAATTTGAGGGAACTATACTATTTATGGGGCAGTTCAGAAAACCTAAGGGGCAAAATATTTATGATGATCATAAAATAAGTATTTTCCAATTTCCCATGGTTAAAATGGCACTGGAGGCCAAAACCTAGATACTAGACTCTAAAGAGTATTACCTAGCTTCACCAACTCACTATAAAAATGAAGAAAATAAAACCTACTTTGTATGGTTGTGTCTTTTATGGCTTTTATAATCTTAATTTATTTTTTATGGTAGGGTCTTTTATGGCAAGGGGAAAGGAACCCAATTCAGATTTGCTTAAGCAAAGATAGGACGTGCGGCTCCTGTAACTAGGAAGTTCAGGGACGTTGACAATAAACGCGTGTATAGGGCCAGGCTGTAGTCTAAGCACTTTACATCCATCCACCCATTTAATCCTCACAATGACCCTAACAAGGTGGGTTCTGTTATTATTCTCATCTTGCTGATGAGCAAACCGACACAGAAAGGCAGACAGAGAGCCAGGAGGTAAGCAACGTGCCTGAGGTCACCTGGTTAGTAAGCGGCTGAAGTCAGGTCTAAACCCGTCCCAGGTGGCTCATGAAACCTAGCAGGAGGCAGAGAATCACTGAGGGGATACAGGCCTGGTAGACTGGGTACTGGGTGGAGAAAAGGTCGGATAGGGAAACACACACACACACACACACACACACCTGATGGCTCCATGGCCAAGAAAAGACTTAGGAAGTAGAGTCATTGGGTGTAAATTTCCCCTTTGCATAGGGATGTGCGGTGTGAACTACTATTCCATATCTCCTGGGAAATCTTCAAGGTCTGAGTTGGTCACTAACACTTTGCAATGTTTGGTTTGTTTGGGGAAACCCAAAAAGGAGCTAAGCTCATGTAGTTTGATGTGGGATAAAAATAAAGACAGTGAACGTAGAAGGAAGAACCCAAGGATAAAGGGCCAGTTGGCCTCTGGGTGATGCCAAAATGGAATTTACTCTGTGGGTTTAGGGAGCCCTACGTAAGATTTTGAGCAGGAACTGATACAATGAAAAATGGTGGTATGAATATTTCAAGTGACATGCACTTAAAATGAAAGGTGAAAAACTCAAAGGGAGGGAGACCAGTTAGAATGCTGCTTGCTACATTAGTATAATGCTAAAGTTAGATTAAATTAGAAGAATAGGGTTGTGGCCAGGCAAACAAAAAAAGAAGACATGAATGAGGAAGGCATTATCACGGCAAAGCCGGCAGCATCTGCTACTTGAACGGATGTTTGGGGGAAAAAGAGTGGGGAAAGTTAAAGATAACTCTGAAGTTACAGTGTTGGTGACTGGGAAGATGATGTCATTGGAAAGAAAAGGAAAGTTACAATAAATAACAGGTTTTAGGGGAAAAACAGAATTCAATTTTAGGCAAGTTGAATTTGAGATGATGGATAAGAAATTGTATCAGTTAGGATTCTTAGTTGGAAGCAACCAACACCAACGCTGATTTAAGAGGCAAAGGAACATTTTAAAGAAGATTGAGTCATTTTCAGAGTCTTCAGGAAATGTACAAACCAGGCTTAGAACTTCTCACCTTGAAACAATGCTCCAAATTAGGAGTTATCCCCTGGGAGCTGCCTCTGAGCCTCTGAGCCCTGGACACTGTGGCCACTGTGGCCTGTGGCACCCATGGCCACTGCTGCAGTCACCTTTACTGCCAGGCTTCTAGGTCCCTGCTTCCTTGGATTACAAGCTTCTGATATAAGAAACAGGTGCACCAGAGAGGCACAGGCCATATGGGCATGCCTAGCTGCAGGGATGGCTGGGAAAGTGAGTATTTGGCTTTTTCAGCTTATTTATAGCGTGGCATAGCCTCTGTATCCCACCAAAGCTTCTTCAATCTTTTAAGTCTCCCAAAATAGTAAAAGGGGTCATATGCCAGGTAGCCAAAAGATCATTCAACTACAAGTACCTATCAGGGGCTTAGAACATTTGGACTGGAGCTCAGGTGAGAGGCTGGCATTGGTGATACAGCTCTAGAAGAGGTTGTTCTCTAAGTAGAGGGTCTGGGGCATGATGGGGAGAGAAGACAGCAGAGAAGGAAAATTTATACGAAATGGTATTTAGATGGCTGGGGGAGCAAAGAAGGGCATCAGACAAGTTAGTCAAGAGAAGAGAACTTCCATGGAGTGGAGTAGGGTGAATGAGTATGGGAGAGAGGGCCATAAAACCCGGGAAAATGTCAAACTTCTGGAATTAAGAAGTTAGTATTGGCCATTTCAGGCATTCAAAACAGTTACAGGGAGGTAGTGAGTGAGTGGTAAAGAAGCAGATGCAGGAGGTACAGTCAACCTATTTAAGAGTATCATGGAGAATATACACTATACAGTTCAAGACAATTTTATTTGTGCTGTAAAATTATTAACATGTTCCATTTACTGGCCCCTTAAGGAGAATTCAACGCTGGAGTGCTGTTTAGCAATTAGCTTTATGCATTTTCCTGAATACTTAATGTTTTTTGGCCAGGGCTTGGACTGTGAGGGGCAAGCTTTATCAATATTTGAAATCTCTGGTTAAGTATAGAAGGGCTGCATTAGTTTCTGTGGCTGTCTGCCAGATCACAGAATCACGGCACAATAGAGATGAATTCACAGGCAATACACCTGAAGTGAAGATGGGCAGATGAACTTCCTTAGGGTCCACAGAACCAGGTTCTTCTAAATTCTGGTCAAGTCAGAAACTTTATTTGAACTCAATCAATGTGAGACCGTTAGCTGTGCTCTCTGGGATGGTACAGGAAAGAGGTGAGATCTTGGGAACAGATGAAATCCCCAGGTGTCTTAGTCTCATTGTACTGTTATAACAAATAACAGACTGGATAATTTACAAAGGACAGAAATTTCTTGCTCATAGTTTTGGAGGCTGGGAAGTCCAAGATCAAGGGGCCAACAGGTTTCTTGTCTGGTGAGAGTCCAGTCTCTACTTTCAAGATGGCACCATGAAGCCTGCAACTACCAGAGGTGAGAATCGCTGTGTCCTCACATGGCAGAAAGTGGAAAGGCAGAAGGGACAAACTTCCTCTGTCAGGGCCTTTTATAAGGGTACCTAATCTCATTCATGAGGTCTCTACTCTCATGACCTAATCACCTCCTGAAGACCCCACCTCTTAATTCTTTTAGATTAGCCATTAAGTTTCAACACAAATTTTGGAAGGAACACAAACATTTAAACCTTAGCACCATGGTTTTTCTGTTCCCCAGGAGTTTAGACCTGGTTGGGTCTGAGGTGTGGTCAGGACATGAAAGTCGGAATGTTATAGAGTGCCCATGGGCCCTGTGTGGCCAGCTCCCATCTGGGAAGCATGATGTGGTTTCCTTACTTACATATTCCTTCATTCCTTGCACTAAAAACTCAGCCTGTAGCAGTATTAAGACATAGTTCAAAGAGGCTATGGCTCACCTCTCAGTACAGATTCTCTGAAGTGATGGTTTGGCAGCTGGTGTCTGTTTTAAGAGGGTCTCAAACAGGATCTTGGTAAATTCTAAATTTTGAGAAGCATTACAGGAGAGGTGAAGTGGTGGGATCAGGAATCTCAGAGAGATTGTGAGAGGCAGGGAGTGAGCAGGGAGTTCATGGAAAACCAATGACCTGTTTGAGTGGCTGTCATCCTGAAGGCTTAGTTACTGAGGTGTCATGAAGAAAGCCTTTTCTGATGAATTTGAACAGATTCTGAATTGCTATGAATATCTATTAATGGTGACCCAATGCCCCCAGATGAAAGTGATCTTTCTCTCTTTTAAAAATTCTAAACTCTAAACATCTCTTTGTTTCATACGGATCTTATCCATTTCCATTAAAGCCATTATGTATCTTATCACATCAGGGAGCACTTTATTAACAGGGAAGCACCATATAAGCATTAGTTATTTATGTGTGTAGTATATAAGGACGTTAAAACCGAACAGGCTCAAGTTTTGAGATCCCACAGGCCTAGATGTCAACCAAACACACATTTAAAAGTGAGGCATGAGAACATCTGTTATAGACGGAACACTTGTGTCCCCCAAATTCACATGTGGAAACTCTACCTCCTAATGTGATGGTATTAGGAGGTGGGGTCTTTGGGAGGTGGTTAGGATTAGATGAGGCCCTGAGGGTAGAGTTTTCATGAATGGGATGAGTGTCTTTATACGAGTCCTAAGACAGCTTGCTTCCTTTCTCCTCAATTTGAGGACACAGCAAGAAGACAGCAGTGTATGAACCAGAAAGTAGGCTGTTACCAGACACTGAATCTGCTGCTACCATCAGCTTGGACTTTACAGACTCTAGAACTATGAGCAATAAATATTTGTTGTTTAAGCCTCCCAGTCTGTGGTATTTTGTTATGGCAGCCTGAGCTAACTAATATAACACTTGTGTGGGTTTGGCCAAGGTGATTTCTGAAAACAAGTTTTGTCAGCATTCACCCATCACCTACTTTGCAGGCCATATAACTGAAAGCTAAGAAGTCAGGGAAGGAGGTTAAAATTCAACAAGAAGTTTCTTTCAAAGAGAGATGTTTGAGGGCTGTGGCAGGAATCAGGGGGAATTGACTTTAGTCTTCTAGGGTAGGTAGGACCCAGAAGCTGATGTCTATTTCTATCTCTGGAAGGTTAAAGACTGTGCTGGATGCCACTTGCCAGGCTTTGGGATGAACAGAGGTGACTAGTGTGGATGTGAACATCATTCCAAAGAAGGTGGGCCCCAAAATGGTGCCAGTTTGGGGATAGTTCTGTGATTCCACACAAGAAAATGGCCTGTAGGAGTGAGATAGCCTTAAAAGGGGAGTATCCTAGTAGGTACTAGGGACTGGGTGAAAAACCACAAGTTGCCAGGCATAGTCCATATGAAGGGGTTGGAGACTGAGGATTCAGTGGGGGTACCCATCACATCTATCCTGCTTCATTAGCTCTTTCATACTTTTACCTTCCCATCCCCTACCCACTGCTCTACCCTGGAGGAACCAGAGACAGCTTGGTGACTGGAGAAAGAGGGATAGAAGAACTTGGCTGGCAAAGAAGGTGACCATTTTCATCTTTCCTTTCTGACTTCCTGTTTGAAGGAAGACAGAGCTGGTGGGAAGGAGAGATTACGAGTATGGACTTGGGTGATTTTGACACTCAGCTAGATAAATTAAAATAGACCCAAACCTTCTTATCATCTTTGGCGGTTGGGGCGGGGGGTCTGGAAAAATAAACAGTTCTGCAGGAGCTGTCATTCAGAGAACAGGAACACCTTAGTCTGCAGTTGGGTTTGAGCTGTCTTTGAAGGGACAGTAGCAGGGAAGAATAGTTTTCTGATTGAAACTTGTAAGTGCCACTAGTACAAAGAAATGGTTACAAATTAATTCACAATTGCAAAGATATGGAGCCAATCTAAGTGCCCATTGACTAATGAATGGATAAAGAAAATGTGGTATATCTACACCTTGGAATACTACTCAGCCATAAAAAAGAACAAAATAAAGTCTTTCACAGCAACTGGGATGGAGCTGGAGGCCATTATTCTAAGTGAAGTAACTCGGGGATGGAAAACCAAATACCATATGTTCTTGCTTAAAAATAAGAGCTAAGCTATGAGTACACAAAGGAATACAGAGTGGTAAAATGGACACTGGAGACTCAGAAGGGAGAGAGTGAGAGGGGAATGTGGGATAAAAAATTACATATTGGGTATGATGTACACTACTTGGGGGACAGGTGCATTAAAATCTCAGACTTCACCAATTCATTTATGTAACCAAAAAACACACACCAAAAGCTATTGAAATAAAAAATATATTAAAAAATACTATTGGTTGCAAAAGACTCCTTGAGGTCAGGGAATGTGTCAGATTCACCCTGCAGTGCTAAAAATGTGTTGTTCTTGAGTGGTAGATTTCCTATTGAAACCTGGGCTTTGCCTAAAGCAGAGGTTCTTGAACTTTAAGCCTGCATCAGAGTTACCAGCAGGGCTTAGTAAAATACAGATTGTTGAGCCTCACCCCTAATGTTTTGGTGAGGGGGACTTTTCCCTATGAAAAAGTTTGCTGGTGATGCAGATGCTGCTGTTTGGGGGACCACACTTTTATAGTACTGGCCTAAAAGAAATAAAGGAGGGCAGGGCTATCATCAAGTAATCTATTCATTCATTTGTTCATTAACTAATTCAACAATTATTTACAAAGGACCTATCATGTGTTCTGTGCTGGGTGGGCCTGGGATTACTCAGCTGATCTAATTTGCCCAGTGAAGCTGCAGCATTTTCAACAGGAAGGAGGAATGAACGAGCTCTGAACCAACTTCTTTCTCTCCTACTCACTTCAACCTCACACAATGGTTTCAGTTTCCTTGTTTGGCCTTGTCCTGGTTGGAATTGAAGCCCTGCTTCATATTTAATGGAGTCTTTTGTTCTCTCTTCACATAATATATTGATTCTTATAATTAGGCCTTTTTGCTTTTTCCCAAACTACATTACCAACATTAACAGCTAGCTTAAAATGCCATTATGAAACCATATGAGTCTTAGTGGAAGAGAAAAAAAGGAAATGAGCCTTTCTGAGCTCCGTCTCTTCCCGTAAGATGCTCCTCAGCTAGGGCAGTCTGGCAGTGTCTGCCTTTCCTCCCCTCCTCAGCTGCAATCCCCCAGGGCTTTCTGGCCAGTAGGCCAACTGCTTATTCAGCAATTCCTTGCAGATCAGAAGTATCAGGATGTGGTGGGTTGGGGATCCCCTATTTCCTTATTTTTTCACTGAGACCTCTGTCTTTTGAGCCTTTGCATATACATTTGTATACTGTCCTGGGCCTTGGCCGGCTCCATGGGGAAGTCAAGAGGGGATACTCAATCCTGCAGAAGTTCCCAGGTTAACAAACTAGACTTAGTTTTAGTGACTTTCTCTTTTGTATCCTTAAGTTTGCTTAGCCAAAGGCATATTTGGACATTCTGAGGCACCCAAGTTGTGATTTGAGATTTTCATTATGAACAAGGAGATTTTGAAGGCAAGTAGTTACTTTGATTTGAGATTAAAAAATATTTATTTTGTACTACTTATAGGCAAATGCAGTCTGGAGAGAGGAGAAAGCCTCAAAGTCAAGAAAAGTCCTGCAGAAGGACAGTACCTTGCAAATCTAGTGTGGGTGACAGAATGCTGGCTTTCCTTCACAGTCAGGGCCTCTGCATATGTTTTGATTGGACTCAATTCAGGCCATGTTTACTAAGCCCCTGCCATGAGTAAGCTATCATGGCACACTGTGAGTGGGGCAATGAGATGGGGGTACAGTGAGGAAAAAGTAATAGTCTTTGCCCTCTGGTGCTCAGAGGTTGTGATGGTTAATTTATGTGTCAGCTTGGCTGGCTATGGTACCCAGATATTTATTTAAACATTATGAATGTTTCTGTGAAAATATGTTTTTGGATGAGATTAACATTTAAATTAGTAGACTCAGTAAAGCACGTTGCCTTCTATATTGCGGGTGGGCCTCATCCCATCAGTTGAAGTCCTGGATAGGACAAAAGATTGCCCTCCCAGGAAGAAGAGGGGATTCTGTCAGTAGATAGCTTTCAAACTGGAATGGCAACCTTGGCTCTTCCCTGGGTCTTCAGCCCACCTGCCCACTCTGCAGATTTTAAACTTCCCAGCTTCCATAATCATGGGAACCAATTCCTTAAAATAAATCTCTTTCTCTATATATACACACATATACATCCCATTGGTTCTGTTTCTCTGGAGAATACTGACTAATACAGAGGTCAAGACGCAGACTTAAATACACCAATCAGATTGCATCCTCAGATGGATTAGTGTAGGAAGGTCCTGTGAGACTTGTCGAGAAGAGCCAGGAAATGTGGGTAAAGTGCCTACTCATGATGTGAAGGAAGTGAACTCAACCTGGGCAAAATGCAGAATCTCTTCTCTTCAGGGAATAAGAGAGTCTAGTTGGGGGTAGGAAGTGGGAGAGGAAAGTGCAAATGGAATTGGGTCACATCAGTATGCAAACAGACCAATGAATACTTTGAAAAATGGAGAGAAGTTGACTCATCAAGTGAAAGCACCTAAAATATATATCAGTTTTTCTTCTTTTCCATGAAACAATGCTTTTTTCCAGAGAAACAAACCTAACATCGTGGAGGATGTTAAAGACCTTAGATTTTATTCTGTGTGTAATAAGTGTGGAGAGAAGAAAGAGAGGGAGAAGGGTTTTCTGTTTATGAGGAACACTCTGGTAGTGAGCATTTGGTGGGATTTGTACTAACTTTCAGAAGGGGACAGTTGAAGTGGAACTGAGACTGTGGGTAACAGACATGATCTAGTGACCTAAGAAAGCAGGAGAGTAGAAGGTAGGCAGACCGGGTCATGGAGGACCGTCTTCATAAGGAAGAGGAGAGACCCAGGAATATTCAAAGCAGAGAGAAAAGTGTGACAGAAAGGGAGGCAAATAGGTGACAGGAAAGGTTTGCAAGAGGTGCAAGGGAGTTTGCTGTTTCAGGGTTCAGGGACCATTGCATCATTTGCACTTGTCGGCAAAGTCACTGTTAAGATGTCACAGTTTCTCTTGGAAAAGGAGTTCATCCTGGGTTGTTTTTCTGGAATAGAATGGATTTGCTCAGATCTAACTGCAGCAATGTCTATCCAGTGTTATAAAAAATATGCATTTATGTGTCTGTGTGTGTGTGTGTCTGTGTCCCCAGAAGAGTCATCAGGCAGCATGGGATAAAAATTTTGACCCTAAAATTCTTCCATAGCAGCTTCTCTCACAAACCATGGACAGAAAGAGCCAGAACGTTCTGGTGTATTTCCTGGCACACAACAGGTATTTACTAAATATCTAGTGAATAAGAGGATGTGAGTGAATGGATCTCAGAGTGAGTCAGAAGACTCAGAAGTTACACTGAGTATGTTTTCGAATGCTGAGAGCTAAATGCACACACCTTTGTATACACACACACACACACACACACACAGAGCACCTACCATTTTAAATGCCTAGCATGGCACAACCACTAAGCCTTTGCCACCAGGGAAATGGCTCTGATTCGAGAGAGAGAGAGAGACAGAAAAAAAAAGAGAGCGAGAGAGAGACTGGGGAAGTGTTTCAAGTTCATAGAAAGAATGAGGTTTATTCTTGCCCTACACTGAAGGGTCTCAATCTTGGCTACAGATTGGAATCATCTGAGGAGCTTTAAAAAATTACTTATGCCTAAGTTCTGACTTCTTTGGAATGGTGTATGGGTTGAGAGTCAGGATTTTAAAAAGCTCCTCCTGAGAGGATTCCAATGTACAGCCCAAGTTGAGAACCCTTGCTTTAAATCTCTGCTATCCATTTTGGTAGCTACTGGCCACATGTGGCTATTGAGTCCTTCAAATGTGACTGTCCTTGAAATTGGGATGTGCTGTAAGTGCAAAATACACACAGAATTTTGAAGAATTTGAAGTGAGAAGAACAAAAAATAATAATATTTTATTAATAATTTTTATATTGACTGTAGAAGGCAGAATAAGACCCCTCTCCCTGTGATGTGCATGTCCTAATCCCCAGAACGTGTGACTACGTTTTATTATGTGGCAAAAGAGAATGCAGGTTGCAGGTGGAATTAAGGTTGCTAATCAGTTGACCTCAAATAAGATCATCTTGGATTATCTGGGTGGGCCCGATGTCATCAAAAGTTCTTAAATGTGGAAGAGGGAGGCAGAGGAGTCAGCATCGAAGTGATGTGATCTAAGAAAGACTCCACCAGCTATTACTGGCTTTGAATACAAGCAAAGGAAAGTGGGCAGCCTCTGTAGGCTGGAAAAGGCAAGAAAACAAGTTCTCCTCTAGAGTCTCCAGAAAAGAACATGGCCCCATCAATGCCTTGATTTTAGCTCAATGAGACCCATTTTGGACTCCAGATAATACATTTATCTGGTTTTAATTCACTAAGTGTGTGGTCATTTAAGATATATTAAGAGCATGATTTTTATCAGTTTCTTTTTACTTGTTTTTAATGTGGCTACTAGAGTATTCCAAATCACATGTGGCTTGCATTACGTTTCTATTAGATAAGGCTGTTTTTAGACCCTGCCGTCCTCTGGACAATTACTTTAGGGACTTCCAGTGCACGCTTCTGACACTAGTCAAAGTGGGAAGAACAGCAACCTCTATAGGAATGTCTGGCCTAACTGAAAATAGTTTACATTCTCATCTCCTGCTAGCTTGCTGGTAATAAGGATAGAAATTGTATCTCATGCCTGATTGTCAAATGAATAAATGGCCAGGGATTTTTTTGAATGAAAGCTTTACAGATTTGTAGAAACTATAAAACTGGCCCAACCAAATAAATTGTTAGAGTTTTTGAAAGAAGTGGACATGAATTAGTATGTCCATTCAACATTGAAACGTAAGTCTTGGAGTTCTCTCAACAACAGTGCAACCACAACACTAAGGTAGTGTGGACCAAGACCACCATGTGCCTTTGGTGATAAGTTTCCTTTTTCTAATGAGTGCCTTTTTGGTTACAAGTAGTACATTTCATGTTTGAAGGGATAAGGTAGTTCCTTTTGCTTTTAGCGAATCTATAAGAGGAAAAATCAACCTAGAGTTGACGCTCTGGATGGGAGAGAATAGGAGTAAAATTGCGACCTAATTCCTTAGCACCCTTTCTTAGCAAGAGACAAGTAGGGGGGTCTCTAGGGGATTTGATCATGGGTGTTTACAGTGTGCCTTTCATGGGGTACTTCTTTATCCTGGTCCAAGTGTTTGACCTGTGATCAGGTGTCCCTCTCACAAGAAACTTGGTTAGATTGGCAGATGTCCTTGTGCTCTTGTCTGAGCTGTGTTCAGTTTATTCCTACCAACACAGCCACACTCCAGGAGAGCCCTAACTGGGAAAGAAGTTAGATTGGGGCGTATTAGTCAGTTGAGACACAGAGGAGGCAGCTCAATAAAATACACGAAATACCAGGAGCAGTGTATTACTTACAAGTCCCAGAGAGAACAGAGCAGCATGCCTCACAGGGCCAAGGGAAAGGGGGAAGCCATCCTGGACATACACACTCAGGTGGGGATCAAGAGATAGTAAGGGACTTGTGTGGCCAAAGTCTTTGATGGGCTCCAGGTTGCTACCCAGGCGGATTCCCTATGGGGAGTTCTAGTTGGTGGGTTTACAACCAGGAGGCATGAGTTCTATGGAGTCACGCTGTGACTAAGAGGTGGTCACCACAGCATTTCTGCACAGTCTATGTGGGGTGTATGGGTGAGTGGGGGTGAGTCAAGCGAGCTGTATAGTGAGCTGACCCATAGGCAGGTGGTCACCAGGAGGTGGTTGTTTAGGGCAGATATTTGGATTGACCATCCTGAGGAACTGGAGGAGGTGGAGAACTGGAAACTCTTTCAATGGTAACTAAAGTCTTCTGGTATAAGAAACTTAAACCTATATTCAAAATAGATACCAAGGCAAGAAAAAATCATAGGAACTCACCCCCACTAAAGGGGGGTGAATAGTCACTTTTCGAGGGGCCATGGCTGGATAGAAACTGCCGGTCCTTGCTGCATTAGGGTATTTAGGTCATTTCTTGCCCTCAAACAGACCAATGAATACTTTGAAAAATGGAGAGAAGGTGACTCATCAAGTGAAAGCACCTAAAATATGTATCAGTTTTTCTTCTTTTGCCATGAAACAATGCTTTTTCCAAAGAAACAAACATAGAGTTCTGAAGAAATTGTAATCAATGCCTTTCAAAATCAATAGTAATGATTTTGGATTTGAAGTACTGGAAATATTTGGAGAGTCGATGGCAACATTTGGAGCCATTTTGTGAGCCAAAGGGCTTTTGTTCTACACCTGGAAAATGCCCCAAACAATTACCAACAGTGTGTAATGTTCATAGTGCAAAATGACTGTCCCAGTGTGAGTGAGGAGCTCAGATGGTAGAAATCCACTTTGCCCAATTTAGCTCTTGGGACCACTGAAAATGACCCCTACATTGAATGGAATCCAGGAAAAGAGAAACCTCACTACTTTCAGTTTGAGTGTTCTCCCTCAACCCTGATTATGCTGAGTGAAACAATGAATGTAGAGGAGAGTGTTTTCTGCATCTTCTTCACAGCCTCATGCCAGTATCTAACACACTTAATGCTACTTTATATTTCTGGCCAACCCCTATAATCCACTTACGATAGATTTTTGAACTGCTGTCAGTGCCCATGCCCTACCTCATGCACCAGCAGTGATGGACATGTCCTCCATAGCTAATAAAAGAGAGACAGTTATCGGAACTATTTTCTAGTTGCAGGAAATTCTCCTGTGTGAGTAAAGCTCTCTGTTTGAAAAATGAACTGCTTATGCTGTTCAGTAAGTTCACAAGCTGTTCAGTAAGTTCACAGGGGTGGAATTAGGATGGTACCCTCTGTGCTTTAATTCCCCAAAATTCAAGATCCAACTATGAGGGATCCCTCCCAGTGATAATGTTGAGGTTGAAAACCTTTCCAGCATTTTTATATGTTCCCTTTCTTGTAACTCTTGATCAAGGCTTCTTACAAAGCCCAGTCTTTCTAGGTCAGCTTCCTAACAAGATCAAGTCATAGGATTTTCTTTCGCCCTTGTACATCCGTCTAGGATTATCTCTCCCACTTTATAAACCACCTTTCCTAACTCCCTTTGGTCCTTCTTAGGAAATTTTTCTTTCCTTTTTAATTCACGGATCGATAGAAGGCCAGCAGGAGTACCACCAAGTCATAGATTCATTCCTTCACCTCAAAATCAGTCACATCAAAGACAAAAATGCCACCAGTTTAGGTGAGCATGGAAAGCTTGGCTAGAAAGAGAGAGAAAGAAAGGTGAAGGAGAACACTTCTTAATATTTTCTCTCTTTACCCCTCAAAAATTTTTATGACTTGTTGCCAAAAAATGACATAGATTTGTTGCACGTTGCTTTGCTCCTTCTTTTCCGCTAACAGTATCTTAGCTTAGATGTATAAACTTAAGGACCAGAGGCTGGGGCAGATAAATATCTAGTCAAACTTCATTGCATTTAATGCAACCTTCACTGGCCTTCCTATGTCTGCCCTTGTCCTCCTTTGGTCATAGTCAACAGAGCAGCTGGAGTGATTCTGTTAAAATCAAAGTCAGGTCACACGACTCCTATACCCAAAAGCCTCTGGTAGTTTCCCACTTCAGAGTAAAAGCAAGGCACCTGGAATGGCTCTAAAGCCCTATGTGATAAAATCTGCACTTACCTTTTTGACCTCAGCTTCCAGAACTTCGCACTTATTCACCTCTGCTCCAGCCACCTGGTTTCCTTGCTGTTCTTTGAATGTGACAGATACTTTTCTGCCTCCAAACGTTGCTCTTGTTATTCCTCAGTTTGGGAAACGTTTACCCAAGAGATGTACGTGGCTCACATCCTCTTTTTCTTCAGGTATTTTCTCAGTTGTCAACTCTTTTCTGAGGCCTTCCTTGCCTAGTTCATCTAAAATTACAATACCTACCACACTGTTATTTAACTAAATTGTTTATTACCTGTCTCCCTCAACCAGAATCTATGCACCATGAGGGCAGATATTTTGTCTGCTTTGATCACTGCCCTGTGGCTTGTGCTCCGGCACAGAGGAGGTAATGATGCAATGTGTTGAATGAGCAGATGCATCACATCACCCCACTGGGGGCCAGTCAAGCCATGAGATGGGAATAAATTAATTGCTCCCTCAACTGTGATCTGTCTTAACAGATGTTTTGTGGCTGTGACTACAGTGTTTGTGAAAGTTGACCTTGATAGTTTGTGAAGAAAATTGATTTGTCACTGATAGAATTGCAAGTCACTGATGGAAAGTAAAATGATCCAGAGTGAGAAAGAGAATCAAAGCATCTTGATAACTGTCATTAACCAGGAGTAATGTCAAAGTAGCTCATCGAATCACAGAAAATGAAAGTATAGGAACGTCAGCATCAGCCTTCCTGTGCTAAAATTCGCTGTCATTGAGAGGTTGCTTTTCTGGGTATATTTTAAATATTCCCATCTGGTACATGATCAGGGTCTGTTAGGAGATGAAGCTTGATTTTGATCCTGGATTCTTTCAGTCCATCACATTTGGATAAGGGGGAAATACTGGATTAGTACCAGACTTTGTCTATCCTTATGGAACATCTTGTTCATTTGTTATTTTCATTCTCACCTTCTACCTTGTATAGAATATGTGCAATACAAATTAGGGGGCCTATTTGTTTGTTTTTGGCATGTTAGTTCACAAAATGGTCAAACCAGCCATGCAACCTTGTCCTATTATTGATTATTCATCCAAGAATTGACTCCTGCTTGCCTGTGAGTAAACTACCTCATACTGGAGAAACTTCTGTCTGTGTAGCTCACACATCCATCAAGATATGGAATGTTACCCCAAGAACTATTGAAATAAACTTTTTAAATAGAGTATTTCCTTATCCGAGAAAATCCTTTTTCCCCTTCAAAGTCAATCCTTGCCTTTGCCCATACTCACAAGGAGGCAACAATTTTTCTGATTTATACCAACATAGATTAGTTTTGCCTATTCTTTAATTTCATTTAAATAGAATTGTATTGTGTCTGACTTTTTTTTGCTCAGCAAAATGATTTCGTGATTCATTCATGTTGTCGCATATGCATGTATTAATAGTTTGCTCCTTTTTATTGCTGAGGGTTATTCCTTGTATGAATGTAACCACAATTTGCTTATTTATTCTTATCTTGAGAATATTTTCCCCAACCCACCCAGTTTTATTGCTCTTATGAAGAAAGCTGCTATTGAAATTCATGTACAATACTTTTTATGTACATTTATTTTTCATTTCTCTTGGATAAATACCTAGAAGTAGAATTGCTGGTTCATAGGAGGTATATATATATATATATATATATATATATATACACACACACACACGATATATATATACACGATATATATATATATACACGATACACGGACGCCTGTAGTCCCAGCTACTCGGGAGGCTGAGGCAGGAGAACGGCGTGAACCCTGGAGGCAGAGCTTGCAGTGAGCCGACATCGCGCCACTGCACTCCAGTCTGGTCGACAGAGCGAGACTCCGTCTCAAAAACAAAAACAAAAACAAAAACAAAAAACAAAACTCATATGGAACAGAATAACTTATAGTGAAAGATTAAACTCTCCCCTATTATAATTGGAAACAAAGCAAGTATATCCTCTCTTGCTTGTATATATCCACATATATATATATCCACACAATATATATACGTGTGTACATATATATATATCCATACACATATATATGTGTGTGTGTATATATATATATATATATATATATATATATATATATATATATATATACTGAATGCTAAGAGAAATGTCCAAATATTCTCCTATTTTTTTTCTAAAAGCTTTATAGTTTTAAGTTTTACGTTTAGGTCTATGATTCATCCCAAATTAATTTTTGTAAATGTTATGAGTTATGAGTTAAGTTTCATTTTGTTCCGTGCAAGGATACCTAGTGGTTCCAGCATCATTTATTAAAAAGAACTTCTTTCTCCATTGAATTGCTTTGGTCAAAATTTAATTTACCATATATATGTGGGTCTCTTTCTGGACTCTCTTATTTTATTCTGTTGATTTATAGGCCTATCTTTACACCAACATCTTGATTACTGTAGCTATATAGTCAGCCTTAAAATCAGATTATATAAATATATATTCTAACTTTGTTCTTTCTTTCAAGATGGTTTTGTGGATTTTAAGTCCTTTACATTGCCATATAAATTTTAGCATCAGCTTGTGAATTTCTATGTGATCCCATAAGGAATTTTTATTGAAATTGAATTCAATATATAGATCAACTTGAGGAGAATTGATTTAAGAATATTAAGACTTCCAAACCATGAACATTGTATATCTTTCCATCATTTAGGTCTTTAATTTTTCCTCAATACTGTCTTATAGTTTTTAGTGTAGAGATCTTTCTATATTTTGTGAAATTTATCTTTAATTATCTTATGCCTTAAAAGTGACTGTAAATAGATTTTAGAAACATTTTATTTTAGAAATTTTCTTGCTAGTGTATAGAAACACATTTCATTTTTGTATAAAGACCTTGTATCTTATGACTTTATTAAATTCACTTAACAGATTTAGTAGGTTTTTAATTTGCAAATTCTTTGGGATTTTGTAAGCGGAAGTCATGTCATCTATGAATAAAGGCATTTTTACTTTTTCTGTTTTAATTTATATGCCTTTTATTATTTTTTATTGCCCAAGTTAGGACCCCCATTTACAATGTTAAATAGATGCAGCAAGAGAGGATATACTTGCTTCGTTTCCAATTATAATAGGGGAGAGTTTAATCTTTCATTGTAAGTTATTCTGTTCCATATGAGTTTTGTTTTTTGTTTTCGCTTTTGTTTTTGAGACGGAGTCTCGCTCTGTTGACCAGACTGGAGTGCAGTGGCGTGATGTCGGCTCACTGCAAGCTCTGCCTCCAGGGTTCACGTCGTTCTCCTGCCTCAGCATCCCGAGTAGCTGGGACTACAGGTGTCCGCCACTACGCCGGGCTAATTTTTTGTATTTTTAGCAGAGACGGGTTTCACCGTGTTAGCCAGGACGGTCTTGATCTCCTGACCTCGTGATCCACCTGCCTCGGCCTCCCAAAGTGCTGGGATTACAGGCGTGAGCCACCGTGCCCGGCCCCATGTGAGTTTTTATAAGGTTGAGGAAGTTTGTCCCATTCCTACTTTGCAAATTAAAAAAATATATACATATTACCAGGGGTTTAGTTTGGCCAAGTGCCTTTTCTGTCTTTAGCGAGATGATCATATGTTTCTGGTTTGTTTGTTTTTTTTGTGACGTAGTTTTGCTCTTGTTGCCCAGGCTGGAGTGCAATGGCACGATCACAGTTCACTGCAAACTCCGCCTCCCAGGTTCAAGCGATTCTCCTGTGTCAGCCTCCCAAGTAGCTGGGATTACAGGCACCTGCCACCATGCCCGGCTAATTTTGTAGTTTTAGTAGAGACAGGGTTTCTCCATTTTGGTCGGGCTGGTCTCGAACTCCCGACCTCAGGTGATCTGCCCACTTTGGCCTCCCAACGTGCTGGCATTACAGGCGTGAGCCACTGCAACCCGCCATCATTTGTTGTTTCTCCTTAATTATATTAATGTGTAGATTTGCACATTGATTGATTCCCAAATGTTAAAGCAAATTTGCATTCCTTAAAAAAACTCTACTTAGTTGTGATATATTACCTTCTTTGTATATTTCTGGATTTGATTTACTAATATTTTGTTAAGGATTTTTGTGTCTATATTTATGAGGGATATTGGTCTACAATTTTATTTTTAAAAATTTCTTTGTCTGGTTTTCATATCAGGCTATTGCTGGCCTCATAAAATATGTTGAGAAGTATTCTATTTTACTATGTTTTCTAAAAAAGTTTGTGTAGAATTTGTGAATGTTTGATGAAATTTATTGGTAAAGTCAATGGTCTGGATTTATTTGTGTGTGTTTGAAAAGGCTTACTTACAAATTAAAGTTTTTGAGAAAATATAGGGTTATTTAGATTTTGTTTCTTCTCAAGTCAGTTTGGTAATTTGTGTTTTTCAATGTATTTGTTCATTTCATATAAGTTGTTAAATTTTTTGTCATGAAGTTGTTTTCCCCGCTTCTTTATTTTCCTTTATCTGTAAGATCTATAGTTATGTCTCCATTTTCTTTTCTGTTATTAATAATTTGTGACTTCTCTCCCTTTTCTTTGACCAATCTAGTAAGGATTTATCAATTTTATTAGTATTCTCTGAGAATCATCATATGATATTTTGATTTTAAAACATTGTCTATTTGCTATTTAATTTTTTTTTCTTTAACTTTTATTTTAGATTCAGGGTTAGACATGCAGGTTTGTTATACAAGTAAACTCGTGTCATGGGCGTTTGTTGTACAGATTATTTCATCACCCATGTACTAAATCTAGTACCCAATAGTTGTTTTTTTCTGTTCTTCTCCCTCCTCTCACCTTCCACCCTCAAGTAGGCCCCAATGACTATTGTTTCTGTCTTTGTGTTCATGTGTTCTCATCATTTAGCTCCCACTTATAAGTGAGAACACGTGGTATTTGGGTTTTTTTTTCATGCATTAGTTTGCTAAGAATGATGGCCTCCAGCTTCATCCATACTCCTGCAAAGGACATAAATTTATTCTTTTTTATGGCTGTGTAGTATTCCACAGTTTATATGTACCATATTTTCTTTATCTAGTCTACCATTGATTGGCATTTAGATTGAGTCCACATCTTTGCTATTGTGAATAGTGATGCAATGAATACATGCATGCATGTGTCTTTGTGGCAGAATGATTCATATTTCTTTGGGTACATACCCAGTTATAGGATTGCTGAGTTGAATGCTATTTCTGTTTTTAGCTCTTTGAGGAATTGCCACACTGCTTTCCACAATGGTTGAACTAATTTACACTCCCGTCAACAGTAGGTAAGCATTCTTTTTTTTTCCATAGCCTTTCCACCACCTGTTTGTTTTTTTTTAATAATAGTCATTCTGACTGGTGTGAGATGACATTTCATTGTGGTTTTGATGTACATTTCTCTAATTATCAGTGATATTGAGCCTTTTTTCATATGCTTATTGGCCATGTATATGTTTACTTTTGAAAAGTGCCCGTTCATGTCCTTTGTCCACTTTTTAGTGAGGTTGCTTTTTTTCTTGTAAATTCATTTAAGTTCCTTATAGATGCTGGATATTAGACTTTTGTCAGATGCATAGTCTGCAAATATTTTCTCCCATTCTGTAGGTTTTCTGTTTACTCTGTTTATAGTTTCTTTTGCTATGCAGAAGCTCCTAATTTGAATTAGATCCCATTTATCAATTTTTGCTTTTGTTGCGATTGCTTTTGGTGTTTTTGTCCTGAAATCTTTCCTAGTTCCTATGTCCAAAATAGTATTGCCTAGGTTGTCTTCCAGGGATTTCATAATTTTTAATATTATCCTTAATCCGTCTTTAGTTGATGTTTGTATATGGTATAAGGAAGGGTTCTAGTTTCCATTGTCTGCGTATAGCTAGCCAGTTTTCCCAGCACCACTTATGAAATAGGAAGTCCTTTACTCGCTGCTTGTTTTTGTCATCTTTGTGGAAGACCAGATGGTCGTAGGAGTGCAGCCTTATTTCTGGGCTCTCTATTCTGTTCCATTGGTCTATGTGTCTGTTTTTGTACCAGTACCACACTGATTTGGTTACTGTACCCTGTAATATAGTTTGAAGTCAGGTAATGTGATGCCGCCAGGTTTATTCCTCTTGCTTAGGATTGCCTTATTTATTAGAGCCCTTTTTTTGTTTCACATGAATTTGAAAATAGTTTTTCTAGATCTGTGAAGAACGTCACTGGGGCCGGGCACAGTGGCTCATGCTTGTAATCACAGCATTTTGGGAGGCCAAACTGGGCAGATCACCCAAGGTCAGGAGTTTGGACCAAGCTGGCCAGCATGGTGAAACCCCTTCTCTACTAAAAATACAAAAATTAGCCAGGCATGATGGCAGGTGCCTGTAATCCCAGCTACTTGGGAGGCTGAGGCAGGAGAATCGCTTGAACCGGGCTGGCAGAGGTAGCAGTGAACTGAGATCATGCCACTGCACTCCAGCGTGGGTGACAGAACGAGACTCCTCCTCAAAAAAAAAAAACTATGTCATCAGTAGTTTGATAGGAATAGCAATTAATCTGTAAATTGCTTTAGGAAGTATGGCCATTTAAACAATTTTAACAATATTGATTCTTTCTATCCACGAGCATGGAATGCTTTTCCATTTGTGTCTTCCCTGATTAATTTGAGCAAAGTTTATTATTATTATTATTATTATTATTATTATTATACTTTAAGTTTTAGGGTACATGTGCGCAATGTGCAGGTTTGTTACATATGTATACATGTGCCATGTTGGTGTGCTGCACCCATTAACTCGTCATTTAGCATTAGGTATATCTCCTAATGCTATCCCTCCCCCATCCCCCCACCCCACAACAGTCCCCGGAGTGTGATGTTCCCCTTCCTGTGTCCATGTGTTCTCATTGTTCAATTCCCACCTATGAGTGAGAACATGCGGTGTTTGGTTTTTCCTCCTTGCCATAGTTTTCTGAGAATGATGGTTTCCAGTTTCATCCATGTCCCTACAAAGGAAATGAACTCTTCATTTTTTCTGGCTGCATAGTATTCCATGGTGTATATGTGCCACATTTTCTTAATCCAGTCTATCATTGTTGGACATTTGGGTTGGTTCCAAGTCTTTGCTATTGTGAATAGTGCTGCAATAAACATACGTGTGCATGTGTCTTTATAGCAGCATTATTTATATCCTTTGGGTATATACCCAGTAATGGGATGGCTGGGTCAAATGGTATTTCAGTTCTAGATCCCTGAGGAATCACCACACTGAATTCCACAAGGGTTGAACTAGTTTACAGTCCCACCAACAGTGTAAAAGTGTTCCTATTTCTCCACATCCTCTCCAGCACTGGTTGTTGCCTGACTTTTTAATGATTGCCATTCTAACTGGTGTGAGATGGTATCTCATTGTGGTTTTGATTTGCATTTCTCTGATGGCCAGTGATGATGAGCATTTTTTCATGTGTTTTTTGGCTGCATAAATGTCTTCTTTTGAGAAGTGTCTGTTCATATCCTTCGCCCACTTTTTGATGGGGTCATTTGTTTTTTTCTTGTAAATTTGTTTGAGTTCATTGTAGATTCTGGATATTAGCCCTTTGTCAGATGAGTAGATTGTGAAAATTTTCTCCCATTTTGTAGGTTGCCTGTTCACTCTGATGGTAGTTTCTTTTGCTGTGCAGAAGCTCTTGAGTTTAATTAGATCCCATTTGTCAATTTTGGCTTTTGTTGCCATTGCTTTTGGTGTTTTAGACATGAAGTCCTTGCCCATGCCTATGTCCTGAATGGTAATGCCTAGGTTTTCTTCTAGGGTTTTTATGGTTTTAGGTCTAACATGTAAGTCTTTAATCCACCTTGAATTAATTTTTGTATAAGGTGTAAGGAAGGGATCCAGTTTCAGCTTTCTACCTATGGCTAGCCAGTTTTCCCAGTACCATTTATTAAATAGGGAATCCTTTCCCCATTGCTTGTTTTTCTCAGGTTTGTCAAAGATCAGATGGTTGTAGATATGTGGCATTATTTCTGGGGGCTCTGTTCTGTTCCATTGTTCTATATCTCTGTTTTGGTACCAGTGCCATGCTGTTTTGGTTACTGTAGCCTTGTAGTATAGTTTGAAGTCAGGTAGCGTGATGTCTCCGGCTTTGTTCTTTTGGCTTAGGATTGACTTGGTGATGCGGGCTCTTTTTTGGTTCCATATGAACTTTAAAGTAGTTTTTTCCAATTCTGTGAAGAAAGTCACTGGTAGCTTGATGGGGATGGCATTGAATCTATAAATTACCTTGGGCAGTATGGCCATTTTCACGATATTGCTTCTTCCTACCCATGAGCATGGAATGTTCTTCCATTTGTTTGTATCCTCTTTTATTTCTTTGAGCAGTGGTTTGTAGTTCTCCTTGAAGAGGTCCTTCACATCCCTTGTAAGTTGGATTCCTAGGTATTTTATTGTCTTTGAAGCAATTGTGAATGGGAATTCACTCATGATTTGGCTCTCTGTTTGTCTGTTATTGGTGTATAAGAATGCTTGTGATTTTTGTACATTGATTTTGTATCCTGAGACTTTGCTGAAGTTGCTTATCAGCTTAAGGAGATTTTGGGCTGCCACAATGGGGTTTTCTAGATATACAGTCATGTCATCTGCAAACAGGGACAATTTGACTTCCTCTTTTCCTAATTGAATACCCTTTATTTCCTTCTCCTGCCTAATTGCCCTGGCCAGAACTTCCAACACTATGTTGAATAGAGGTGGTGACAGAGGGCATCCCTGTCTTGTGCCAGTTTTCAAAGGGAATGCTTCCAGTTTTTGCCCATTCAGTATGATATTGGCTGTGGGTTTGTCATAGATAGCTCTTATTATTTTGAGATATGTCCCATCAATACTTAATATATTGAGAGTTTTTAGCATGAAGGGTTGTTGAATTTTGTCAAAGACCTTTTCTGCATCTATTGAGATAATCATGTGGTTTTTGTCTTTGGTTCTGTTTATATGCTGGATTACATTTATTGATTTGTGTATGTTGAACCAGCCTTGCATCCCAGGGATGAAGCCCACTTGATCATGGTGGATGTTTTATAGTTCTCATTGTCAAGATCTTTCACCTCCATGATTAGCTGTATTCCTAGGTACTTTATTCTTTTCATGGCAGTTGTGAATGGGACTGCATTCCTAATTTGGCTCTTGGGCTTGGCTGTTTTTGGTGTGTAGAAATGCTAGCGATTTGGGTATGTTGATTTTGTATCCTGAAACTTTGCTGAGGTTGTTCATTAGCTCAAGGAGCTTTTCAGCTGAGACTATGGGTTTTCTAGATATAAAATCATGTCATCTGCAAACAGAGATAGTTTGATTTCCTCTCTTCCTGTTTGGGTGCCTTTATTTCTTTCTCTTGCCTGATTGCTCTGGCCAGGACTTCCAATACTATGTTGAATAGGAGAGGTGAGAGAAGGTATCCTTGTCTTGTGCCAGTTTTCAATGGAAATTATTCTAGCTTTTGCCCATTTAGTATAATGTTGGCTCTGCAATAGATAACTCTTCTTATTTTGAGTTATGTTCCATCAATATCTAGTTTATTGAGAGTTTTTAACATGAAAGGATGTTGAATTTTATCAAAAGCATTTCTGCATCTATTGAGATAATTATGTGATATTTGTCTTTAGTTCTGTTTATGTGATGAATCACACTTATTGATTTGCTCATGTTGAACCAACCTTGCATCTAAGGGATAAAGCCTACTTGATCATGGCGGATTAGCTTGTTGAGGTGCTGCTGGATTTGGTTTGCAAATATTTTGGTGAAGATTTATGCATAAATGTTCATCAACGATATTGGACCAAAGTTTTCTTTTTTTGTTGTGTTTCTGCCAAGTTTTGATATCAGGATGATGCTGGCCTCATAGAATAAGTTGGGGAGGAGTTCTTCCACCTCAATTTTTGTAATAGTTTCAGCAGGAATTGTACCAACTCTTCTTTGTACGTCTGGAAGAATTCAGCTGTGAATGCATCTGGTCCTCGACTTTTTTTTTTTTTTTTTTGATTGGGAGGATATTTATTACTGATTCAATTTCAGGGTTCATTACTGGTATGTTCAGGAAATCAATTCTGCCTCATTCAGTCTTGGAAGGGTGTATGTGCCCAGAAATTTATCCATCTCTTCCAGGTTTTCTAGTTTGTGTGCATAGAGCTGTTCATAGAAGTCTCTGATGGTTATTTGTATTTCTGTAGGGTCAGTGAGAACATCTCCTTAGTCATTTCTTCTTGCAGTTATTTGGATCTTCTCTCTTTTCTTCTTTGTTAATGTAGCTAGTGGCCTATCTATCTTATTAATGTTTTCAAAAAACAAACTGCTAAATTTGTTGATCTTTTCAGTGGTTTCTTCATGTCCCAATCTCCCTCAGTTCTGATTTTGGTTATTTCTTGTCTTCTGCAAGTTTTGGAGTTGGATTGCTCTTGCTTCTTTAATTTTTCTAGTTGTGATGTTAGGTTGTTAATTTGAAATCTTTCTAACTTTTTGATGTGGGCATTTAGTGCTACAAATTTTCCTCCTTACCACTGCTTTAGCTGTATCCCAGAGATTCTGGTATACTGTATCTTTGTTCTTATTAGTTGCAAAAAACTTTTTGATTCCTACCTTAATTTCATTATTTAACCAAAAGTCATTCAGAAGGAGGTTCTTTAATTTTCATGTAATTGCATGGTTTTGAGCAACTTTTTTTAGTCTTAATTTCTATTTCTATTGTGCTGTGGCCTGAGAGTGTGTTTTATATGATTTCAGTTATTTTGCGTTTGCTAAGGATTGTTTTATATCCGATTATGTGGTTGATTTTAGAGTATGTGCCATGCAGCAATAAGAAGAATGTATATATTCTTTTGTATTTGAGTGGAGAATTCTGTGGAGGCCTATCAGATCCATTTGGTTCAATGTTGAGTTCAGGTGCTGAACAACTTTGTTAATTTTCCACCTCAGTGGTCTATCTAGTACTGTCAATGGAATGTTGAAGTCTTCCACTATTATTGTGTGGGAGTCTAAGTCTTTTTGTAAGTATCTAAGAACTTGTTTTATGAATCTGGATGCTTCCGTGTTGGTTGTGTATATATTTAGGATAGTTAGCTCTTCTTGTTGCATTGAACCTTTTATCATTATGTAATGCCCTTTTTTGTCGTTTTTGATTTTTGTTGATTTAAAGTTTGTTTTGTCTGAAATTAGGCAGCAACCCCTGCTTTTGTTTCTGATTTCCATTTGCTTGGTACCTCCATTCCTTTATTTTGAACCTATCGGTGTCATTGTGTGTGAGATTTGTCTCTTAAAGACAGCATACCATTGGGTCTTGCTTATTTATACAGCTTGCTACTCTGTGCCTTTTATTTATTTATTTTTTGAGACGGAGTCTTGGTCTGTCACGCAGGCTGGAGTGTAGTGGTGCGATCTCGGCTCACTGCAACCTCTGCTTTCCAGGATTAAGTGATTTTCCTGACTCAGCCTCCCGAGTAGCTGCGATTACAGGCGTGTACAAACACATCCAGCTAATTTTTATATTTTTAGTATAGAAGGGGTTTCATCATGTTGGCCAGGCTGGTCTCAAACTCCTGATCTCAAGTGATCCACCCACCTCAGCCTCCCAAAGTGCTGGGATTACGGGCGTCAGCCACCGTGACTGGCCTACTCTGTGCCTTTTAAATGGGGCATTTAGCCCACTTACATTCAAGGTTAGTATTGATATGTGTGGATTTTTTCCTGTCATTGTGTTGTTAGCTGGTTACTATGCTGGCTTGTTTGTGTGGTTGCTTTACACTGACCTGTGTACTTAAGTGTGTTTTTGCATTGGCTTGTAAGTCTTTCTACATTTAGTGCCCCTTTTGAGATCTCTTGTATGGCAGGTGTTGTTGTAATTAACTCTCTCAGCATTTGCTTATCTGAAAAATTTCTTATTTCTACTTCTCTGAAGAAGTTCAGTTTGGCTAGATATGAAATTCTTGGTTGAAGATTTTTTTCTTTAAGATTGTTGAATATAGGCCCCCAATCTCTTCTGGCTTGTAGGGTTTCTGCTGAGAGGTCCAACATTAACCTGATGGGGTTTCCTTTGTTGGGAACTTGACCTTTCTCTCTAGCTGGCTTTAACATTCTTTCTTCCATTTCAGCTTTGGAAAATCTGAGTATTATGTATCTTGAGGGTGGCCTTCTTGTGTAGAATCTTGCAGGGGTTTCCTGAATTTGACTATTGGCCTCTCTACTGATGCTGGAGAAGTTTTCATGGATGATATCCTGAGATATGTTTTCCAAGTTGTTTACTTTCTCCCTGTCCCTTTCAGGGATGGCAATGATTCAAAGATTTGGCTTCTTCATATAATTGCATACTTCTTGGAAGTTTTGTTCATTCCTTTTAAATCTTCTTTGCTGTTTTTCTGACTATTTCAGAAAGCCAGTCTTCAATTTCTGAGAATTTTTCCTAAGTTTAATCTACTCTCCTGTTCATACTTGCAATTGCTTTGTAAAATCCTTGTAGTTTGTTTTTCAGCTCTATTAGATCAATTAGGTTATTTTGTATACTGGCCATTTTGTCTGTTAGCTCCCATATAATTTTATTGTGATTCTTGGTTTCCTTAGATTGGGTTTTCCCATTCTCCTAAATCTTGATAATCTTTGTCCCTGTCCATATTCTAAATTCTATTTCTTTCATTTCAGCCAACTCAGCCTGGTTAAGAAACCTTGTTGTAGAACTAGTGCAGTCATTTAGATACATAAGACAGTGTGGCCATTTGAGTTGCTAGAGTTATATTGATTCTTTCTCATCTCTGTTTGTAAGTGTTCCTTTAACTGTTGGGCTGCCTCTGATTGAAGTGGTCAGTAGGGGGCAGGGTGGTTGTGCTGGAGTCCCAGGTTGGAGAAGTGAGGACTGGGACTGTTGCTCTGGGGTGGGGAGTCTCCCCTAGCTCTGTGTTACTCCCAGTTGGGCAATTGTTCTGCCTTGCTTTACTCCTTTCTCCATGGGTTAAGTTGTTTTCTTGATGAAGCCCAAATGCAATGCATGTACCTGAGTGTTTAATTTAAAGGTGCTGTATTTACTTGCCCCTTCTATTTCTCTCTGTGAAAGTGGCACACACTAGGGGCTTCTAGTCAGCCATCTTGGCCACTGCCTCTTAATTTAGTTTCTGATCTTTATTGTTTCCTTCCTCTTCGTACTTTAGATGTAGTCTTTTTTACAGCTTAGTAAGGTTGAAGTTTAGATAATTTAAGACTATTTAAAATTTTTTTGTTTTAATTTTTGTGAGTACATACTAGGTGTATATAATTTTGTGGTACATGAGATGTTTTGTACAGGCAAGCAATGCATAATAATCACATCATGTAAAATGAGGTATCCATTTCCTCAGCATTTTTTGATACAAAAAGTCCATTCATACTCTTTTAGTTATTTTACAATGTAAGATTAAATTATTATAGACTATAGTCACCCTGTTGCGCTATTAAATACTAGGTCTTATTCATTCTTTCTATTTTTTTGGTATCCATTAACAATCCTCACTTTCTCCCCACTCTCCTACTATCCTTTCCACCTTCTGGTAACCATTATTCTACTCTCTATGTCCCTGAGTTCAGTTGTTTTGATTTTTGGGACCCAGAAATAAGAGAAAACATGCAATGTTTGTCTTTCTGTGCCTGGCTTATTTCACTTAACATAATGACCTCCAGTTTCTTCCATGTTGTTGCATTTGACAGAATCTTATCCTTTTTTATGGCTGACTAGGACTCCATTGCGTATAAGTACCGCATTTTCTTTAACCATTCATGTGTTGTGTACACTTAGATTGTTTCCAAACCTTATGTATTGTAAATAGTGCTGCAACAAATATAGAAGTGCAGATATATCTTTGATATACTGATTTCCTTTCTTTTGGATATATACCCAGCAGTAGGATTGCTGGATCAGTAGCTCAGTTTTTAGTTTTTTGGGGAAACTCCAAACCGTGCTCCATGAGGGTTGTACTAATTTATATTCCCACCAGTGTACAAGAGTTTTCTCTTCTCCACATTCTCACCAGCATTTGTTTTTTCCTATCTTTTGGATATAAGCTCTTTTAACTCAGGTGAGATGATATCTCATTGTAGTTTGGTTTGAATTTCCCTGATGATCAATGATAAGAGCACCTTTCCGTATGCCTGTTTGTCATTTGTCTGTCTCCTTTTGAGCAACGTCTATTCAAATTTTTAGTTCATCTTTTGATTGGATTATTCAATTTGTCCTATAGAGTCGTTTGAGCTCCTTATATATTCTGGTTATTATTCCATTGTCGTATGGGTAGTTTGCAAATATTTTCTCCCATTCTGTGAGTTGTCTCTTCACTTTGTTAATTGTATCTTTTGCTGTGCTGAAGCTTTTTAACTTGACGTAATCCCACTTGTCCATTTTTGCTTTGGTTGCTTTTTGCCTAGACCTATGTCCTGGAGAGCTTCCCCAAGGTTTTCTTGTAGTAGTTTCATTGTTTGAGGTCTCAGATTTAAGTCTTTAATCCATTTTGATTTGATTTTTGTATATGGCAAGATATAGGGGTCTAGTTTCATTCTTCTGCATATGGATATTCAGTTTTCCCAGCATCACTTATTGAAGAGTATTTTCCCCAGTGTATGTTCATGGCACCTTTGTAAAAAAGGCTTTGGATTTTTTTGTGGTTGAATCTTGGTAGGTTGCATATGTCCAGGAATTTATCCATTCTTCTAAATCTTTCAACTTATTTGCCTTATAGTTGCTCCTAGTAGCCACTAATGATCTACTGAATTTCTGTAGTGTCAGTTGTAATGTGTCCTTTTTCTTCTTTGATATTCTCTCTTTTTCTCTTAGTCTGGCTAAAGGTTTTTCAATTTTATTTAACTTTTCAAAAAACCAACTTTTTGTTTCATTGATGTTTTATATTTCTTTCTTCATTTCAATTTCATTTATTTTTGCTCTGATCTATATTATTTCTTTTCTTCTACTAATTTTGGGGTTGGTTTGCTCTTACTTTTCTAGTTCTTAAAGATGCATCGTTTGGTTGTATATTTGAAATTTTTATTCTCTTCTGATGTAGATGCTTATAGCTACAAACTTTCTTATTAGTACTGCTTTTGCTGTATCTCATAGGTTTTGATATTTTGTGTCATCATTATCATTTGTTTTAAGAAAAATTTTAATTTTCTTAATTTCTTTGTTAACTCACTGGTCATTCAGGAGTATATTGTTTAATTTCCATATATTTGTATAGCTTCCAAAATTGGTCTTATTATTGATTTCTAGTTTTACTACATTATCATCAGGGCAGATGCTTGATTTAATTTCAATTATTTTTTAATGTTTTAAGACTTTTTTTGTGACCTAACATATGGTCTGTCCTTGAGAATAATACAAGTGCTGAGAAAACGAACGTGTATTGTGCAGCCTTTGGATGAAATGTTCTGTAAATATCTATTAGTTCCCTTTGGTCTATAGTGCAGATTAAGTCCAATATTATGTGGTTTTCTGTCTGGAAGATCTGTCCAGTTCTGAAAGTGTGCTGCTGAAGTCTTCAGCTATTATTGTACTGGGGTTTATCTCTCCCTTTAGCTCTAATAATATTTGCTTTATATACCTGGATGCCCCAGTGTTGGGTGAATGTATATTTAAAATCATTAAATGTACAATTTTATATTTGTATAAATATAAAATTTATATATTTTATATATTAAAAAAATTAAAACATTTATATATTTTATATATATTTATATATATTATTATATATCTTATATATAGAATATATACATAATATATAAATTTTTATATCCCCCTGCTGAATTGGCCCCTTTATTTTTATATAATGATGCTCTGTCTTCTTACAGTTTTTGTCTTGAAATATATTTTATCTGATGTAAGTACAGCTACTCACGCTCTTTTTTGGTTTCCATTGTCATGGAATATCTTTTTCTACCTTTTTGTTTTCAGTCTGTGTGTATATTTAAAAGTGAAGTGTGTTTCTTGTAGGCAACAGATCATGGGTCTTGTTTTTTCTATCCTTCCACTGCTCTCTGTCTTTTGATTGGAGTTTAGTTCATTTACATTCAATATTATTATTGATAAGCAAGAACTTATTCCCGCCATTTTGTTACTTGTTTTCTGGTTGTTTTGTGGTCTTCTATTCCTTCTTTCTTTCCTTCCTGTCTTCCTTTTAGTGTGGGTAATTTTCTCTGGTGATATGATTTAGTTTCTTGCTTTTTTATTTTTTGTGTATCTGTTGTGTGTTTTTTGGTTTGAGGTTACCATGAAGCTTACAAATACTATCATATAACCCATTATTTTAAGCTGATACAAACTTAACAATGTTGGCATAAACAAAGAAACAAACAAGCAAAAATCAAAAAGAAAATTAATATTCTACACCTGAACTTCATCTGCCTGCTTTTAAACTTTTTGTTGTTTCTATTTATATCTTATTGTACTGTCTGTGTCTTGAAGAGTTGTTGTAGTTATTTATCATTTAGTATTATTTAGTCTTTCTTCTTAAAAGCAGTTTATACACCACAGTTATGACATTACAATATTCTGTGTTTTTTTGTACTTACTATTACCAGTGAGTTTTGTGCCTTCATGTAATTTCTTATTGCTCGTTAACATCCTTTCTTTTCTGATTGATGTACTTCTTTTAGCACTTCTTGTAGGACAGGTCTAGTGTTAATGAAATCCCTCAGCTTTTTTTATTGTCTGTTTTTTGATGTTTGAAGAATATTTTGATCAGATATACTATTCTAGGGTAAAAATCTTTTTCCTTCGGCACTTTAAATATGTCATGCCACTCTCTCCTTGTCACTAAGGTTTTCATGGAAAAGTCTGCTTCCTAATGTATTGGAACTCCATTGTATGTTATTTGTTTCTTTTCTCTTGCTGCTTTTAGGATCCTTTCTTTATGCTTGCTCTTTGGGAGTTTGATTATTGAATGCCTTGAGGTGATTTTCTTGGGACTAATTCTGCTTGGTGTTCTATAGCCTTCTTGTACTTGGATATTGATATTTTTCTCTGGGATTGGGAAGTTCTTTGTTATAACCCCTTTGAATAAACTTTCTATTCAATCTCTTTTTCTACATCCTTTTTTAAGGGCCATAATTTTAGATTTGCCCTTTAGAGACTATTTTCTAGATCTCTAGGAATGCTTCATTATTTTTTATTCTTTTTTCTTTTGTCTCATCTAACTGTTATTTTCAAATAGCTTGTCTTGAAGCTCACTAATTCCTTCTTCTGCTTGATCAGTTCTGATATCAAAAGACTCCGATGCATTCTTCAGTTTGCTAAATGCATTTTTCAGCTCTAGAATTTCTGCTTGATTCTTTATAGTTATTTCAATCTCTTTTCAAAAATTGTATGGCAGAATTCTGAATTGCTTTTCTGTGTTGTCTTGAATTTCTTTGCGTTTCCTCAAAGCAGCTCTTTTAAATTCTTTATCTGAAAGGTCATACATCTTCATATCTCCAGGATTGGTTTCTGGTGACTTATTTAGTTCACTTGGTGAGGTCATGTTTTCTTGGATGTTTTTGATGCTTGTAGATGTTCTTCTGTGTTGGGGCATTGAAAAGTTAGGTGTTTATTGTAGCCTTTTTCACTCTGGGCTTGTTTGTACCCATCATTCTTGAGAAGGCTTTCCAGATATTCAAAAGGATTTGGATGTTGTGCAGTAAAGCACTGAGCTGTGTCTGCTTTAGGGGACACCACAAGCCCAGTAATGCTGTGGTTCCTGCAGATTTGTAGAGGTACTGCCTTGATGGCCCTGGACAAGATCTGGAAGAATTCTCTGGATTACAAGGCAGAGATTCTTGTTGTCTTTATTTACTTTCTCCCAAAGAAACAAATTCTCTCTCTGTGTTCTGAGCCACCTGGAGCTGAAAGAGTGACACAAGCATGGCTGTGGCTACAACTACTAGGACCGTGCTGGGCCAGAACTGAAGCCGACACACCACTGTGTCTAACCCAAGGCCTGCTTTAACCACTCCCTGGCTACTGCCTATGTTCGCTCAAGGCTCTGGGGGGTCTACAAGAAGCAGGTGGCAAAGCCAGCCAGGCCTGTGTCCTTCCTTTCAGGTGGTGAGTTACTCAGGCCCTAGGCAGGTCCAATAGTGCTGCCCAGGAGCCAGGGACTACAGTAAAAAACCTTGGCAGTTAGTCTGGTGTTCCAAAGGCAGAAGAACCTCACCCCAAGGTTACCACCACCACAGACTCACAGGGAGTACTGCCAGGCTACCGTCAATGTTCTCTTAAGGTCCAAAGGCTCTTTAGTTAGCTTGTGGTGAATGCTGACTTGTCTGGGACTCACGCTTTAGAGCAGTGGCCCCCACTCTGGCCTAAGAAAGGCCCAGAAATGCCATCCAAGAGCCAAGTCCTGGAATCAGGGACCCCAATATCTCACTTTGTACTCTATCCCACTGTGGCTGAGCTGGTACCAAAGGTGCAAGACAGAGCCCCCTTTACTTTTCCCTCTTCTTTTCTCAAGCAGAAGGAGTCTCACTCCACAGCCATCGAGCCATCACAGCTGGGAATGTGCTGCATCTCACTTGAAACCAGCAAGTCTCAGAGCCTCACCCAAGGTCTTCAATGTAACCTAGGTATTACTGCTGGTTATTCAGGGCCCAAGGGCTCTTCAGTTAGCAAGTGATGAATCCTGCCAGGACTGGGTTCTTCCTTCATAGCAGCAGGTTCCCTTCTGGTCCAGGGTGTGTCTAGATATGTCCGGGAGCTAGGGCCTGGAAAAGAGGTCTTGCACCTCTAACAAGTGCCCTAACATGCTGTGGCTGAGCTGGTATCCAAGATGCAAGAGAAAGTCCTCCACACTCTTCCTTCTCCTCTCCTCAAGCAGAGGAAACAGATCTCTTCTGGATCCACAAGCTGTGCAACCTGGGGTTGGGGTAGGGGAGATGCCAGCATTTCCTGAGCTACTCCAGCTGATGTCTCAGTAGGTCCTGTGGCCCCCTAGTCCACAGTCTTTGGGCCTACTTCAGCACTATGACTTGCCTAGGAGTTGCAGTCCTTATGGTCAAGACTCCCTTTCAAGTTTATCTATGGCTCCAGAGCACTTTAGCCCACGGTGGTGAGGCATGCAGGAACTCAAGTTCAGACTGCTGGGATCCTCAACTCCCCTCTGGCTAGAGCTGGCTTAAATGCTCCCTCCATGGGCAACTGTCAGCTGAGTTTGGTCTGGTTTTGTTTTCTGCTATAATAGGGCACCACTGAGCTGAGTTCAATGCCTCACAATTGCTGCAGTCTCTCTCCCTCCCTGGTGCACAGGAACACTCTCTACACCATGCCACTGCTGCCAGGGGATGGGGAAGGAGTGGTGTTGGCAATTCAAGACTGTTTTTTCTCCCTCTTCAATGCCTCTTTCAGCAATATGAAATTAAAACCAGTATTGTGAGTCCTCATCTGGTTTTTGACTTTCATGAAGGTGTGTGTGTGTGTGTGTGTGTAGATATTAAATTGATGTCCTTGCAGGGTGGGGGGAACCATTGGTGAAGCCTTCTATTCCGCTATCTTGTTCTAGCCCTCCAACTTTTTCTTTTATAATAAAGTGTTTAAAACTGTAAATACTAGGTTGGTGCCATTAAAAGTAATGGCAAAATCCCCAACTGCTTTTGCACTAACCTAATATTTCTCTAAACACTTTTTTAGCTGCATCTCAGATGCTGTGATATGTGACCTTTTCATTAATATGCAGTTCAAAATATTTTCCTTTTTGTTTGCTTCTTCTTTTACCTTGGGGTTATTTAGAAAAGCATTGTTTGATTTCCAAGTATTTGAGGCAACCACTGATAAGTTATATTATTGATTTCTAGTTTAATTCCCTTGTGGACAGAAAATATACTCTGTATCATGTCTATTATTTTAAACGTGTTGAGACTTGTTTTATGGCTTAGAATATAGTATATCTTAATTAATGATCCATGAATACTTGAAAATACTGTATATTCTACTTTTGTTGGTTGTAATAGTCTCTAAATGTCAATGAAGTCAAGTTGGTTAATAGTATTGTTCAAGTTTTCTTTATCTTCACTGATTATTTATCTACTTCTATCAATTAATAAAAGAAGTGTGTTGAAATGTCCAAATATAATTGTGAATTTGTCTACTTCTTCCTTCAGTTCTATCCATTTCTGCATCATGCGTTTTGAGTGAATGTATTAAATGCATACATATTTAATTAAGCATATTGTTTCCTTGATAAACTTACTCTTTCATCATTATGAATTATTCATCTCTTAATATCTGATAACAGATAACATTTTTCTTTCTGTTTATCTTATATTAACATAGCCACTACAGCCTTCTTTTTTTTTTATTTATTTTTATTTTTTTTATTTTTATTAAGACGGAGTTTCACTCTTGTTGCCCAGGCTGGAGCGTGGTGATGCGATCTAGGCTCACTGCAACCTCTGCTTTCTGGCTTCAAGCGATTCTCCTGCCTCAGCCTCCTGAGTAGCTTGGAATACAGGCATGTGCCACCAGGCCCAACTAATTTTTGTATTTTTAGTAGAGACAGGGTTTCATCACATTGCCCAGACTGGTCTCGAACTCCTAACCTCAGGTGATCTGCCCGCCTTGGCCTCCCAAAGTGCTGGGATTATAGGCATGAGCCACCACACCTGGCCTACAGCCTTCTTATGTTTAGCATTTGTTATTTAAAATTTTTACTATTTCCTTGTCTTTATATAAATATGCAAGTTCTGTGAATAGCACATAATTGAGCCTTTCTTTTTATACATTCTGAAAACCTCTGTCTTTTAATGGGAGAATTTAGTCCATTTATATTTTTGTATCACTGGATATAAGACTACTACCTTGCTCTTCGTTCTTTTTCTTCCCCATCTCAAATTAGGGTTTTAACAAATTTGGGCTATTAATTTTAGCATTCAGGCTTAATTTATCAGTCTACTTTCAAATAATATTATACCACTTCACATATGATATGAGATTATTATAACATTGTACTTTTGTGTTCTTTCTTTTCAACCTTTACACTAGTGTTGCTATACATTTTTATTTTACATATGTTATAAACTCTATAATTCTGCACAGTTATTTTTTGCTTTAATCAATTATGTTTAAATAAATTAGGAAATGAGAAAATAGTCTATAATTGCTCACTTGTGATACTCTTAATTCTTTCATGTACATTCAAGTTTCTATCTGTATCATTTCTCTTCAGCTTAAAAAAACTTTTAATTTGTATTTATTTATTTCTCATAGTTTTTTTTTTTAATACTTTAAGTTCTGGGATACATGTGCAGAACGTGCAGGTTTGTTACATAGGTATACACGGGCCATGGTGGTTTGCTGCATCCATCAACCCGTCACCTACATTAGGTATTTCTCCTAATGCTGTCCCTTCCCTAGCTCCCCAGTCCCTGACAAGCTCCAGTGTGTGAGGTTCCCCTCCCTGTGTCCATGTGTTCTCATTGTTCAACTCCCACTTATGAGTGAGAACATGTGGTGTTTGTTTTTCTCTTTCTGTGTTATTCTCTTGCTGAGAATTATGGTTTCCAGCTTCATCCATGTTCCTGCAAAGGACATGAGCTTATCCTTTTTTATGGCTGCATAGTATTCCATGGTGTATCTGTGCCAAATTTTCTTTATTTAGTCTATCATTGATGGCATTTGGGCTGGTTCCACGTCTTTGCTATTGTGAACAGGGCTGCAATAAGCATACGTTTGTGTGTGTCTTTATAGTAGAATAATTTATAATCCTTTGGGTATATACCCAATGGTGGGATTGCTGGGTCAAATGATATTTCTGGCTCTAGATCCTTGAGGAATTGCCACACTGTCTTACACAATGGTTGAACTAATTAACACTCCCACCAACAGTGTAAAAACGTTCCTATTTCTTCGCATCCCCTCCAGCATCTGTTGTTTCCTGACTTTTTAATGATTGCCATTTTAACTGGCATGAGATGGTGTCTCATTGTGGTTTTGATTTGCATTTCTCTAATGACTAGTGATGATTAGCTTTTCTTCATATATTTGTTGGCCACATAAATGCCTTTTTATGAGAAGTGTCTGTTCATAATCTTCACCTATTTTTTGATGGGGTTGTTTTATTCTTATAACTTTGTTTAAGTTCCATGTAGATTCTGGATATTAGCCCTTTGTCAGATGGATAGATTGCAAAAATTATCACCCATTTTGTAGGTTACCTGTTCATTCTGATGCTAGTTTCTTTTGCTGTGCAGAAGCTCTTTAGTTTAAGTAGGTCCCATTTGTCAATTGTGGCTTTTGGTGTTTTCATCATGAAGTCTTTGTGCATGCCTATGTCCTGAATGGTATTGCCTAGGTTTTCTTCTAGAGTTTTTATGGTTTTAGATCTTATGTTTAAGTCTTTAATCCATCTTGAGTTAATTTTTGTATAAGGTGTAAGGAAGGGGTCCAGTTTCAGTTTTCTGCATATGGCTAGCCAGTTTTCCCAGCACCATTTATTAGATAGGGCATCTTTTCTCTATTGCTTGTTTTTGTCAGGTTTGTCAAAGGTCAGATGGTTGTAGATATGTGGTGTTATTTCTGAGGTCTCTGTTCTGTTCCATTTGTCTATATGTCTATTTTGATACCAATACCATGCTGTTTTGGTTATTTCAGCCTTGTAGTATAGTTTGAAGTCAGGTAGCATGATACCTCCAGCTTTATTCTTTTGGCTTGGGATTGTCTTGGCTATACGGGCTCTTTTTTAGTTCCTTATTAAATTTAAAGTAGTTTTTTCTAATTCTGTGAAGAAAGTCAATGGTAGTTTGATGGGAATAGCATTGAATCTATAAATTACTTTGGGCAGTATTGCCATTTTCACAATATTGATTCTTCCTATCCGTGAGCATGGAATGTTTTTCCATTTGTTTGTGTCCTCTCTTATTTCTTTGAGTAGTAGTTTGTAGTTCTCTTTGAAGAAGTCTTCCACATCCCTAGTAAGCTGTATTCCTAGGTATTTTATTCTTTTTGTAGCAATTGTGAATGGGAGTTCACTCATGATTTGGCTCTCTGCTTGTTTATTGTTGGTGTATAGAAAAGCTTGTGATTTTTGCACATTGATTTTGTATTCTGAGATTTGCTGAAGTTTCTTATCAGCTTAAGCAGTTTTGGGGCTAAGACAATGGGGTTTTCTAAATACAGAATCATGTCATCTGCAAACAGAAACAATTTGACTTTCTCTCTTCCTATTTGAATATGCTTTATTTCTTTCTTTTGCCTGATTGCTCTGGCCAGAACTTCCAATACTATGGTGAATAGGAGTGGTGTGAGAGGGCATCTTTGTCTTTTGCCAGTTTTCAAAGGGAATGCTTCCAGCTTTTGCCCATTCAGTATGATATTGGCAATGGGTTTCTGCTAAATAGCTCTTATTATTTTGAGATAAGTTCCATTAATGCCTAGTTTATTTATAGTTTTTACAATGAAGGTATGTTGAATTTTATCAAAGGCATTTTCTGCATCTGTTGAGATAATCATGTGGTTTTTGTCATTGTTTCTGTTTATGTGATGGATTACACTTATTGATTTGTGTATGCTGAACCAGCCTTGCATCCCAGGGATGAAGCCGAATTTTTCATGGTGGGTAAACTTTTTGATGTGCTGCTGGATTTGATTTGCCAGTATTTCATTGAGGATTTCCATATCGATGTTCATCAGGGATATTGGCCTGAAGTTTTCTTTCTTTGTTGTGTCTCTGCCAGGTTTTGGTATCACGATGATGCTGGCTTCATAGAATGAGTTAGGGAAGAGTCCCTCCTTTTCAATTGTTTGGAATAGTTTCCAAAGGAATGGTACCAGCTCCTCTTTGTACCTCTGGTAGAATTCATCTGGTCCTGGGCTTTTTTTGGTTGGTAGGCTATTAATTACTGCCTCAATTTTGGAACTTGTTATTGGTCTATTGAGAGATTCAGCTTCTTCCTGCTTAATCTTGGGAGAGTGTTCTTAGGGACTTATACAGTGGTCTAGTGTCTAGTGTGTCGTAATTTATCCATTTCTTGTAGATTTTCTAGTTTATTTGCATAGAGGTATTTATAGTATTTTCTGATGGTAGTTTGTATTTCTGTGGGATCAGTGGTGATACCCCCGTTATCATTTTTTATTGTGTCTATTTGATTCTTCTCTTTTTCCTTCTTTATTAGTCTGGCTAGCAGTCTATTTTGCTAATTTTTTCACAAAATCAGCTCCTGGATTCATTAATTTTTTGAAGGGTTTGTGTGTGTGTGTGTGTGTCTGTTTCTTTCAGTTCTGCTCTGATCTTAGTTATTTCTTGTCTTCTGCTAGCTTTTAAATTTGTTTGCTCTTGCTTCTCTAGTTTTTTAAATTATGATGTTAGGGTGTCAGTTTGAGATCTTTCCTGCTTTTTCTTGTGGGCATTTAGTACTATAAATTTCCCTCTTAACACTGCTTTACCTGTGTCCCAGAAATTCTGCTATGTTGTCTCTTTGTTCTCATTGGTTTCAAAGAACTTCTTGATTTCTGCCTCAATTTTTTTATTTACCTAGGAGTCATTCATAAGCAGGTTGTTCAATTTCCATGTAGTTGTGTGGTTTTGAGTGAGTTTCTTAATCCTGAGTTCTAATTTGATTGCACTGTGGTCTGAGAGACTGTTTGTTATGATTTTAGTTCTTTTGCATTTGCTGAGGAGTGTTTTACTTCCAGTTATGTGTCTGATTTTAGAATAAGTGCCATGTGGCCCTGAGAAAAATGTATATTCTGTTGAATTGGGACGAAAAGTTCTGTAGATGTCTATTATGTCCGTTTGATCCATAGCCGAGTTCAAGTTGTAAATATCTTTGTTAATTTTCTGTCTTGTTGATCTGTCTAATATTGACAATGGGGTGTTAAAGTCTCCCACTATTATTGTGTGGAAGTCTAAGTCTCTGTATAGGTCCCTAAGAACTTGTCTTAGGCATCTGCATGCTCCTGTATTGAGTGCATATATATATAGGATAGCTAACTCTTCTTGTTGCATTGATCCTTTTACCATTATTTAATGCCCTTCTTTGTCTTTTTTTTATTTTTGTTGGTTTAAAGTCTGTTTTATCAGATGCTAGGATTGCAACCCCTGCTCTTTTTTTGTCTTCCATTTGCTTGGTAAATATTTCTCCATCCATTTATTTTGAGTCTATGTGTGTCTTTGCATGTGAGATGGGTCTCCTGAACACAGCACACTGATAGGTCTTGACTCTATTCAGTTTGCCAATATGTGTCTTTTAATTTAAGGCATTTAGCCCATTTACATTTAAGGTTAATATTTTTATGTGTGAATATGACCCTGTCATCATGATGCTAGCTGGTTATTTTGCACACTAGTTGAAGCTGTTTCTTCATAGTGCCATTGGTCTTTATAGTTTGGTGTGTTTTTGCAGTGGCTGGTACTGGTTTTTCCTTTCCATATTTCATGCTTTCTTCAGGAGCTCTTGCTAAGCAGGCCTGGTGGTGATAAAATCCCTTAGCATTTGCTTGTCTGGGAAGGATTTTATATCTCCTTCACTTATGAAGCTTAATGTGGCTGAATATGAAATTCTGGGTTGCAAATTATTTTCTTTAAGAATGTTGAATGTTGGCTCCCACTGTCTTCTGGTTTATAGGGTTTCTGCTGAGAGGTCTGCTGTTAGTGTGGTGGGCTTCCCTTTGTAGGTGATCTGACCTTTCTGTCTGGCTGCCCTTAACATTTTTACCTTCATTTGACCTTGGAGAATCTGATGATTATGTGTCTTGGGGTTTTGTAGTAGGCTAATCAAGATTTCATAATAGTTTGAAAATTTAACTTTTATCATTAAAATATGTATCTGAGAGAGAACTTTTAATAATTCATTGACTGTGATAATTGATTCTTTGTAAACATGTTTGGGGTCATAATTTTAAAAACCAAACTGTCTTTTACTAAAGAAAGTTGAAGAAAATTATTTCTTATATATTTCATAAGGAAAGATCACAGTACAAATAGAAATCAACAAATTCATCAAACGAAGCTACTCCTGACTTTTGTGCATGTTCTGTTGACTATAAAATTGTGTAAATTATTAATGAAACTTTCATATTTTTTCCTGATTTTTATTTATCTTAATTTTTAAAATTGTTGCTTCCTGGCTGGGAGTGTACAGGTTCTCATAATCTTCTTTATTTTTTTCTGTTGTCATTTCCATCATCCATCTTTTTTACTATCCTGTTTTGTTTGTTTTGTTTTGTCTTGAGATGGAGTCTCTTTCTGTGGCCAGGCTGGAGTGCAGTGGTGCCATCTTGGCTCACTGCAACCTCCGCCTCCTGGGTTTTAAGTGATTCTCCTGCCTCAGCCACCGATTAGCTGGGACCCAGGCATATGCCACCATGCCCAGCTAATTTTTTGTATTTTTAGTAGAGATGGGGTTTCACCATGTTGGCCAGGATGGTCTCGATCTCTTGACCTTGTGATCTGCCCACCTCAGCCTCCCAAAGTGCTGGGATTACATGTATGAACCACTGCACCCGGCCTTTAAAAAAAAATTTTCTGATATTGACTATTACAGGGTGTACTTTCCCTTGCAATAACATTAACGAGCTTTGACATTTGCCTTTTTATTTTGACATCATTTCAAACTTAAAGAAAAGTTGAAAGTATGCATACAAAAACCTTTCATGCTTAACCATTTCAATGTAAGTTGCTGACACGATACCCCATCACTTTCTGAAAACTTTAGAGTATATTTTCACTGAACAGTGGCATTCATCTACATACCTATAACAGAATCATCAACATCAGAAAACTAATCCTCCATATTAATTTATTTATTAATGTCATTAACATCGAATCCTAAGGCCCTGTTCGCATTTCAACAATGGTCCCAACAATGCTCTTTATGGCAAAATAATCATGTCTTCAGAGTCCTTCAACCTCAAACAATTACCCAGTCTCTCCTTGGCTTTCATGACCTTGACAATTTTGAAGGTTACAAAACAGCTATTTTGTAAAGTGTTTCTTTCCCTCCCCCCTTTTTTTTGTTTGTGCAAATTTATAGCATACATGTGAAATTTTGTTACATGTATATAATGTGTAGTGATCAAGTCAGGGTATTTAGGGTGTTTATTATCTAAGTACAATACATTTTTGTTAACTATTGTCACCTTACTCAGCTATCAAACATTGAATGTATTCCTGCTGTTTAACTATATGTTTGTACCCTTTAACCCACTTCTTTTTAGCCTCCTTCCAGCTCCCCTCACCTTTACCAGTTTCTGTTATCTATCTTTTCACTCTCTATCTCCATGTGATCAAGTATTTTTAGCTCCCACATATAAATGAGAACATGCAATATTTGTCTTTTTAGGCTTAGCTTATTTTATATAAGGTAAATACCATCAGTTCCATCCATATTGCTGAAAATGTCATAATTTTGTTTGTTTTTATTGTCAAATAGTATTTCATTCTGTATATATGCCACATTTTCTTTATCCAATCATCCATTGATGGACATCCATTGGTGGACTGGACTGGGTGATTCCCAGGATCCCGGATCGGGTCATCAAATATTGGAGGAAGGGGACTGGGGCAGCAGACTTGTCCTTAGATTCCCTCATAGTGCATTCAGTTGCCAGCTGTGATAGTCAATGTCAGCTATCACCCATGCTGCCGGAATGCTCAACTGTGGGAAGAGA